>NT_187549.1:0-172708 GCF_000001405.40 Homo sapiens | reverse complement strand
AGTCTTTAGGGTTTTCTAGGTATACAATCTTATCATCAGTGAACAGTGACAGTCTGACTTCCTCTTTACTGATTTGGATGCCCTTTATGTCTTTCTCTTATTTGATTGCTCTGGTTAGGTCTTCCAGTACTATGTTGGATAGAAGTGGTGAAAGTGGACATACCTGTCTTGTTCCAGTTCTCAGAGGGAATGCTTTCAACTTTTCCTTGTTCAGTGAAATGTTGGCTGTGGGTTTGTCATAGATGGCTTTTATTACCTTAAGGTGTGTCCCTTCTGTGCCAATTTTGCTGAGGGTTTTAATCATAAAGAAGTGCTGGATTTTGTGAAATGCTTTTTCTGTGTCTATTGAGATGATCGTGTGATTTTTTGGTTTAATTCTGTTTATGTGGTATATCACATTTATTGACTTGCATATTTTAAACCATCCCTGCATCCCTGGTATGAAACCCACTTGATCATGGTGGATTATCTTTTCGATATGCTGTTGGATTTGATTAGCTAGTATTTTGTTGAGGATTTTTGCATCTATATTTATCAGGGATATTAGTCTATAGTTTTCTTTTTTTGTTATGTCTTTTCCTGGTTTTGGTATTACGGTGACATTGGCTTCATAGAATGATTTAGGGAGAATTCCCTCTTTCTCTATCTTTTGGAATAGTGTCGATAGGATTGGTACCAATTCTTTAAAGGTCTGATAGAATTCAGCTGTGAATCTGACTGGTTCTGGACTTTTTGTTGGCAATTTTTTTAATCACCATTGTTATTTGTCTGTTCCTTCCCAGTTTAATATAGGAGTGTTGTATATTACCAGGAATTTATCCATCTCCTCTAGGTTTTCTAGTTTGTGTGCATAAAGGTGTTCATAGTAGCCTTCAATGATCTTTTGTATTCTGTGATATCAGTTACAATATCTCCCATTTTGTTTCTAATCGAGCTTATTTGGGTCTTCTTCTCCTTTTTATGGTTAATCTTGCTGGTGGTCTATCAATTTTAAGTTTTCAAAGAATCAGCTTTTTGTCTCATTTATCTTTTGTATTTTTGTTTGTTTCAATTTCATTTAGTCCTGCTCTGATTGTTGTTAATTTGCTTCTGCTGGATCTGGGTTTAGTTTGTTTTCGTTTCTCTAGTCCCTTGAAGTGTGAGCTTAGATTGTCTATTTGTGCTCTTTTAGACTTTTCAATGTAGGCCTTCAATGCTGTGAATTCTCATATTAGCAGTGCTTTTGTTGTATCCCAGAGGTTTTGATAGGTTGTGTCACTATTATTCAATTCAAAGAATTTTTTAATTTCTATCTTGATTTCATTGTTTACCCAATGGTCATTCAGAAACAGGTTATTTAATTTCCATGTATTTGCATGGTTTTAAGACTTCCTCTTCAATTTGACTTTCAATTTTATTCCAGTGTGGTCTGAGAGAGTGCTTGATATAATGTTTACTTTTTAAAATTTATTAAAACTTGTTTTGTGGCCTATCATATGTTCTATCTTGGAGAATGTTCCATGTGTTGATGAATAGAATGTATATTCTACAGTTGTTAGGTAGAATGTTCTGTTAATATCTGTTAAGTCCATTTGTTCTAGGGTATAGTTTAAGTCCATTGTTTCTTTGTTGAGAGAGTAATGAAATCCCCCACTATTGTTGTGTTGCTGTCTATCTCCTTTCTTAGGTCTAGTAGTTATTCTCCTATAAATTTTGGAGCTCCAGCATTAAGGGCATATATATTTAGGATTGTCATATTTTGCTGTTGGACTAATCCTTTTTTCTTTGTCTCTGCCTCATTGGGTTAATTCAAAAGCCTTGTCTTCAAGCTCTAAAGTTCTATCTTCTATTTGTTCAGTTCTATTGCTGAGACTTTCCAGTGTATTTTGCATTTCTTTAAGTGTGTCCTTTATTTCCAGGAGTTGTGATTGTGTTTTATTTATGCTATCTATTTCTCTGGATAATTTTCTGTCCATATTCTGTATCTTTTTAAAAATTTATTTAAGTTTGTATTCACCTTTCTCTGGTGCCTCCGTAAGCAGCTTAATAATCAACCTTCTAAATTCTCTTTTTTTTTTTTGGCAATTCAGAGATTTATTCTCATTTTGTCTCCATTGCTGGTGAGACAGTGTGATCTTTTGGGGGTGTTTCATACCCTTGTTTTGTCATATTACCAGGATTGTTTTCCTGAGTCTTTCTTACTTGGATACACTATGTCAGAGAGCAGATCCAGGGCTCAAGGGCTTTGTTCAGATTCCTTTTTCCCATGGGGTGCTCCCTTAATGTGGTGCTCTCTTCCTTTCCCTAGTGATGGGGCTTCCTGAGAGTCTAACTTCAGTGATTGTTATTTGTCTTCTGGGTCTAGCCACCCAGTGGGGCTCCCAGGCTCCAGGCTGGTACTGGGAAGTGTCTGCAGAGTCCTGTGATGTGATCCATCTTCAGGTCTCTCAGCTATGGACACCAGCACCTGCTCTGGTGGAGGTAGCAGGAGAGTGAACTGGACTCCGTGAAGGTCCTTGGTGGTAGTTTTGTTTACTGTGCTGGTTTTGTGATGGTTTGCCTCCAGCCAGGAGGTGGCACTTTCAATAGAGCATCAGCTGCAGTAGTATAGGGAAGATGCAAGTTTGCCCTAGGGTTGCCTGGATAAGTATTTGGGTTTCTCAGGTAGTAGGTGGGACCACAGACCTCCCAAGAAATTATTTCCCTTGTCTTCAGCTACAAGGGTGGGTGGAGAAAGACCATCAGGTTGCAGCAGGGTTAGGTGTGTCTGAGCTCAGACTCTCCTTGAGCGGGGCTTGCTGTAGCTGCTATGGGGGAAGGGGGTGTGGTTCTTAGGCCAATGGAGTTACATCCCCAGGGAGATTATGGCTGCCTCTGCTGCATTGTAGCAGTCACCAGGGAAATGGGGGAAAGCCAGAAGCGACAGGCCTCATCCAGCTCCCACGTAGCCCAAAAGGCCAGTCTCACTCCCACTGTCCCCCCTCAATAGCACTGAGTTCATTTCCAGGCAACTGGTGAGCAGGGCTGAGAACTTGCCCCAGGTTACAAGCCTCCTGACTGAGAAAGTAAGCAGGGCTTTCAGATTTCACACCTCCCACCTGCAGCAGTTTCTGTGCTTGTATCTGCACTCCCCATTCACCCCTCCCCCCACCCCGGATGCTGTCCAGGACACCATGCATTTGGTCAAAATTGTTACAAAGTTTATGTGAAAGTTTCCTTCTCCCTGTGGTTTTTCCACAGTTCCACTGGCAGCCCTCCCCAAGGACCCCTGAAAGTCAGGAATTGTTTCCCTGGGGACCAATAGTGTCTACAGAGCTCTTCCTGCTGCTTCTTGTACCCCTACATTTCGCTCAGCTCTCTAAATTCATCTCAACTCCAGGTAAGGTCAAATCCTTCTCCCATGATCTGGACCTTCAGGTTCCCCAGTGAGAATGTGTGTTTGGGGTAGACATTCCCCCTCTCACACTTTGAGTACTCACAGTTTTTGGCTGTCTCAAGGAGCCTGCAACAGCAAGCCACTTCCTTCAAAGGATCTGTGGATTCTCTCAGCTTTCCTGGTATGTTTCTGTGGTAGTTCTGGGAAAAAAATTTCATAATTTGAGTCTCCACATGCTGCTCTGCCTGTCCAAGTAGGAGCTGCAAGTTAATCTTGCCGCCTCTTCACCATTTTTCTCTCTCTTTTTATCTCTTTATTGAACATAATAGTCAGTTATTTTAAAATACAGTCAATATAATTTTAATGCCTGGATCAGCTATGTGACTGTTTCTGTTGTCTGCTTTTCCGCTTGTTTCTATCTCTTGGTATGCCTTGTGAATTTTTAATGAATTTTATGCCTTGTGAGATTTTTTTTTTAAAGAAAAGTTAAAATTCTTGGGAAATGTGGCTTTCCTCCAGGAGAAGATTCTTTTTAGCTTCACCCAGGATGTCAGAATAAATCAACTTTATCCAGGCTTACCCTAAGTTGATTTGGGATCATATTTCATTCTGGGAGAGGTGGTTGTCTTATCTAATGTGCAGACACCAACCCAGAAAATCAAAAAAAAAATTAAGAAACAAGGTAATGTGTTCCAAATAAAAGAACAAAGTAAATCTCTAGAAACCAACTGTAGTGAAAAGGAGAATGTGATTTACTTAACAGGGAATTCAAAAATCAGTCATATAGATGGCCACTGAGGTATAAAGAGCAATGCTTAAAAAACAGAATTTCAACAAAAAGAAAATATTTAAAAGTACTAAACAGAAATCATAAAGCTGAAAAATATAATAGCTGAACTCAAAAATTCCACAGAGGGATTCTAAATCAAACTAAATCAAGCAGAATAAAATACAGGAAAACTTGAAGACAGATCAATGGAAATAATTCAATCTGAAGAGTAAAAAGAAAAATATATAAAAGAGTGAAGATAGCTTGAGGGACTTGTGGGACACCATCAAGCTAAATAATGCATATATTTTTGGACTACTAAAAAGACGGAGAGAAAGGAACAGAAAATACATTCAAAGACATAATGGCAAAAAACTGTCCATGTCTGGGGAAGGAAATAGAAATTCAGATCCAGGAAGCTCAATGGACACCTAATAGGATAAATCCAAAGAGACCCACAGCATATTACAATTAACTTTTAAAGGATTGATCTATTTATAGCTCAGATGTCTCAATGGAAGGCTGGACTGTTTACTAGGGTCTTCTAATTTGGGTAGGCTTTTAGTTCCAATTTTTATCTCTCATCACAGTTGGACTACTGATAAGTATACTTAGATCTTTAGGCACTTAGCAACTGTTATCTGCTCAGTTCCCCAGATGTTCAGTCTGTTTCACTTATGAATGACAGATTCTTTAAGGGAAAAGCATCTCACACTGTCAGGTTTACTTCTCTGAGTTTCTCTCCTCTTCAAAATTGTGACCCCCCTCCCAACCTTGAGCTGCCTTGCTAGCCCTGAATGACAAAATGTTTCTCCCTAAGCCCATGAGACTGCTGAAGGCTATGTTCAGCTTCTATACTTCTCAGTAGACTCTTTCTGCTCGATTTATTAGTTGTCAGCAATGCTGTTTATGAATCAGCACATAGATTGAAGCAACAAAATAACCCAGCATAGAATGTCATGTTCACTTCAGTGAATTCCTCTTCTCACTAAGATGTTGGCCCATCAAGGGCTGGCTGTTTTGATGGCTTAACAATATTTCCAACAGATGGTTATTGTGTTTTCTCCAGTTTTTCTCAGTTGTTTTTATTATGAAGATTGATGTGCTACATAGAAAAAACAATTGTATGTGTTTAATCTAGTTTTAGTTGTGTATCTGTGGTTTCCATTTAACACATCCTGACTAATATGTAAAACTCAACTTCTATGTTGATAAAATTATCTAACAGAATGCAAGGCGAAGAAATAACAAGTAGACAATTTTAAGTTTTTCTATCCTCATATTGCTCAATTTTGTTGATTCTCATCCATAGATTCTTGATGTTATTACATAGCTATTCAGTGGTTTGCAGTGTTTTACTTTCCTTTACATTCCCAATTGCTAGACATTCTATGAGACTCTGCCAGATGGTCTCTTAATATTTTCTGAAAAGTATTCGCTCTCTACCATGTCCACATCACTATGCCCATGGTATTCTACATTGATTTGTAACCTGTGTAGTCTGTGCCTTAATATTCTAGCATGAGTCTCAGGTTCTTGCAGAAACAGGCAGGGCCTTTCAAATCTTGCTCAGTTAAAAAAATTCATTCTTATGTGGCTCCACTTTGAAAACGTTAAAAGAATCTAAATAATTATAAAACATTCCATTGAGCTGCCCAAGCAGCTCAGAACTTGCTCCTTGTTAATGGTATATTGTTCCATATTGGATAATGCCATCGTCTTTCTGCATTGGCTTAAATTATTTCTTGAAATAGACTATTATAAAGAGAAATGTAATTTATAATTCATGTGGAGTGCATTTCTTCATTCACTGAACACATATTTATTAACTCTTAGCCTTATTCTAAGCACTGATGATAGAACAGTGAGAAAGATAGACAAGTTCCTTCACTCCAGAAGCTTACAGTTCTATTGGCAGACAACAAACCAAAAAAAAAAAAAAAAAGAAAAGAAAAAAGTAATCAGAAACGTTTGAGCCATTATCTCAACAATAAAAGCTATGAAGAAAGTAAAATAGTATAATATAAAAGAAGCATTGAGAAAATATAAGATACGGTGGGAAAGAAAGAATGTCTTGAGAGGTGACATTTGATCAGCGACCTAAATGGTGAGGTGTCACCTTTGCAAAGATCTGATGAAAAGGTGGCCCAAGTTGAGGCAAAAGCAAATGCAAATATCCTTGTGCTAACAATATCCTTGTGCTTGCAATGATTCCTTCATCTTGAGACCTAAGCCTGTGAAGTATCCTACCATGTTGAACATTGCTAACTTGTGTAACCAGCAGGCCAATGAAGAAATGATGATGTGTAATTTATGAAGCTATGTCATAGAAGATATCGAGACATCTATCTTACTCTCCTTGACCATCATTGTTGATGAAGACACTTTCCGTATTGCTAGAAACTCAAGAAATCCTGTGGAAATCCCATGGGTAGGGCCATATGGTGAGGAATTAAAACCTCCTGAAAAGAGTCAAGAAGAAACAGATTCCTCCTGCCCAATCATCATGTGAATCAACCATCTTGGAAATGAACCCTCTAGCACCAGATGACTGTAGCCCACACTAACACCTTGACAGCAACTATGAGACAGACATCAAGCCAGACCTAACCAGCTAAGTCACTTCTAAATTCATGATGACAGAAAATCAGAAATAGTGTTTATTATTTTTAAACCCATAAGTTTGTGATAATTTGTTAAGCAACAATAGCTACCTAATGCTGTAACAAATACCTAAATATGTGGAAGTGGCTCTGAATCCAGGCAGTGGGAAGAATGTGGAAGAACTTTGAAGGGAGGAGAGTGAAAACCTAACGGTCCTTGAGCAGACTGTAGGGGGGGAAGCCTGAGGGCTTTTGAGGAGGCTGATTATGAGGCATTAAAGGAGAATGAGGGTAAAGGAATTCTTGTTATGAATTGGTAGAAAGTTTACCAACACTATTACCTGCAGTCATGTGGAAAAGAGAAATGTGATTAATGAATTGAAAATGATCTGCTATGGAGTTTTCCCAAACTTCTTCCTGATTACAGCAAAATGAAAGAGGTAAAAGATAACCTAAAAAAAATTGTTAAACAAAAAACAGACAAGACTTGGTGGTCCTGAAAATTTTTCCAGATGGCAAAAATACTAAAATTAAGAAATGATTTCCATGCAAAGATGAAACCCAATGGCCTGCCAGGCAAACGTGATCTAAGGATAAAGCCAAGGGGGCAGCAGTAAAAATCATTATTAACACCTTTGGAAGAGTTAAGGTGGCACCTCAGAGAACCTTCAATCAAACAGTAAGACTTGTAAGAAGTTTGAAAGTGTTGCCCCTCCACAGTCTCAAGAAAAGGCTGAGATAGTAAATAGGTTTGTGGGTGTGGCTTTTATAAAAAGATTAAATTCCAAATGATTCATAATGGGCCCACAGAGTTTTGTTTTTTAATTATTAGATTGGCAGAAACACTGCCAGCTTGGACTGGAAGGAATAGAGATAAGATAAAATTTTTTAAAATGCATCTAGACTCAAGATTCTGTTGACTAGAAGGCTGAGAAAGCACTGCAGCTGTAAATATAGACTATTTTTCATGGAAGAAGAAGGATAATTGAGGGGATGGAACCAAGAGCCCAGAGAGCAGAGCGAAGGGCCATACAGTTATTCCCAGACAGGAATACAACTGAGTCCTAATGAAGGAACTTCCAACATTGGTTTGTTGGGATTTCAGCGACACCCGTGTGCCTCTCATTTTTCCCCTTTTTGAATGAAAGTATATTTAATCGTTATCCTAGGACTATCCCATGATCATTATCTGCTGGGTGTACAGGGAGACAGATAACTTATTTCTATAGTTCATAGATCTTATGATCAAAAGAAACCATACTAGAGGGAGCTGTATTCAAGGAATTATATCTGAGAAGTATCGTTAGTTATGAGGTCTTTATTTAGATGACAGATTCTGGAATTTGAGCTGGTGGTATAATAAAATGGGGCTTTCAGGGGGGTCTTGACCATGGGTTCAGTGGATACTGGATGTAGGAAATATGTGAGTCATTGTGAGACAGAGGGCACACTGTGCAACGCAGCCTCCAAGATGACCCCTAATTTATCCAAAAAGGGTAGTACCTTCCCACATTGAGTAAAACTGATTTTGTAGTTGATATGATTTGGATCTGTGTCCCCACCCAAACTTCATGTCAAATTGTCATCCCCTGTGTTGGAGGTGGGGTCTGGAGGGAAGTGATTGAATCATAGGGGAGATTTCTCATAAATGGTTTAGCACCATCCTCTTGGTGCTGTTCTCATGATAGAGTTCTTATGAGATCTGGTTGTTTAAAAGTGTGTAGCACCCACCCGCTACTCTCTCTTGCTCATGCTCCCACCATGTGAGATGCCTCATTCCCCAATCGCCTTCCGCCATGACCGGAAGTTTCCTGGGGCCTCCTCAAAAGCAGAAACCTCTATGCTTCATTTACAGCCTGCAGAAGCATAAGCCAATTAAATCTCTTTTCTTTATTAATTACCCTATCTCAGATATTTCTTTATAGCAGTGCAAGAACAGACTAATACAGTAGTCAATAGGATATTGTGGAGATGATACTGCATGAGTACCGAGGCTAGATTATAAAAGCCACTGTAGTTTTTGTCTTGTTCTCTTGGATCACCTGCCCCTGAAGAAGCCAGCTGCCATGACATGAAACTACTCAAGAGGCCTTAGAAGCCTTATGAGGAAGGCAGTGTGGCAAGGAACATAAGCCTTCTATCAACAATCAGGGAGGAACTGAAAGGCCTGCTATCAATAGCTATAGGAGTGAACAGTCTTGGAAGTGGATCTTACAGGTTCAAAAGGCCACTGGAATCTCAGTGAGCATCTTAATTGCAACACCATGAGAGATTCCAAGCCAGAGCCACCCTAACAATCACCCGCAAATTTCTGATCAACAGAGACTGTGAGATAATAAATACTTTTGTGAAGCCACTATGTTTTAGGGAAGAAGTGGAAATATCAGATGGACACAGGATATTTCTGTTAGCCCTAGCTTTTGAAGTTGCTGTTAAATGGAGATGGGAGGGTGGTTTAATGGGTTGCAACAGGCTCTTTTTACCTTTAAAATTAATAGCACAACTCATTTTCTGCCTAAAAAATTATATGGCAAATATTTTAAGTGCTTGTAAAAATTAAAGTAGATGCTAATTAATTAATTTTGTTTCAAATTGCTAAAAAATTTGCAGCACCTCTTGAAATCATTCACACGGTAAGGAATTACCAAATTTTAGTGAGTAATGCTAATTCTTTGACCTTGCCTAAGGTCTCTAAGAAAACAAGGAGAGAACATACATGATAATGTGTAAAAATAAATCCTTCAGCTAGAAAATGCCAGCAACGTTCTGATGAGAGAAACATAATAAGAATGATTTTCTGATGTGAATCTCTCTGTTTAGAAATTAGTTGTCAAAGCTCCTCCTTTGCATGCACATGTCCATTTTTATATATTTATTTATTATGTGGATAGATTCTTTGTATGCATAATGGGTGCTTGCATTTTTACTACTGACCCAAAAGGCTCATTACTTTCCTGTCTACCCCTTATAAAATGTTTATGTTGTATTTTATGTAATCTTTAGTACATCATTTTCATTTAGGAGCCCCCTCCTCCACTTTTTTTTTAAGAAAAAGACATTTAGTTTGGGTGATTTCGATTGTATTTCTCAGATTCAGTAGAAGTATTTATTCCAATATTATTCCAAGAATAATATTTCACCAAAGTTAAATATCAAATTAACTAGGGGTTACTGACAAATATCTGAAATATTAGATATTATGTTTTTTTCTAGGGATTTAAGATCAAGCATTCTTCCTTCTTAACAATTCAGTTGTTGAAGGTAATATCCATAACTCTGCCATGTGGTTACACTTGGAGTTACTCATTCTCTGAGTTGAAGCATTATATATTAAGTAATATTGACATTAAGGAACCATAGAGACAACAAAGGTGTGTGCCCAGTCAAAAGGCAATTGCCTGGTGGCAACAGTTTTCTCCCAAGGCCATTCTTTATCTATTTCTTAAGGTAGGATGTGTTAGGCTATTCTCATGCTGCTATAAAGTGTGCCCGAGACTGGGTAACTTTTAAAGGAAAAAGGTTAAATTGACTCACAGTTCCACATGGCTGGGGAGGCCTCAGGAAACATCATAGCAGGAGGAGAAGGAGAAGGAAACACATCCTTCTTCACATGGCAGCAGGAGAGAGAAGTGCCAAGCAAAGTAAGAAAAGCCCCTTATAAAACCATCTGATCTCATGAGAACTCACTATCATGAGAACAGCATGAAGATAACTGACCCCATGATTCAATTACCTCACTATCATGAGAACAGCATGAGCATAACCACCCCCATGATTCAATTACCTCCCACTGAGTCCCTCCTACAGCACGTGGAGAACTACAATTCAATATGAGATTTGGGTGGGGACACAGTCAAACCATATCACAGGGTATGAAGGAAAAACTCTTGGAAATCTGGAAGCAAGATGTAATTTGTAGTTTAAACCACAGCCTCTTCTATTTTGATTTCCAAAAGAAATCTGTTTCATGTAGTTTTTCCCCTAAAGCAATGTTAGCTTTATTGATTATTTGATTCCTTCCTTCTCTACATTTTATTCCCTACTCATTGTTGTTTACTTCTTTATGTTGTCTTTAACTCACAAAGTATATCTATCTCTTCATAAACTTAATGAGCATCTCCATACCCTTTCCTAATCAAATTTTAT
The DNA here is from genome assembly GCF_000001405.40 of Homo sapiens. NCBI lineage: Eukaryota > Metazoa > Chordata > Mammalia > Primates > Hominidae > Homo > Homo sapiens. The sequence goes on along the minus strand of NT_187549.1, from coordinate 161,835 downwards.
TCTTATCTATCTATCCTTCCTAACTTTCACACCCACAATCCCTTTATGTATGTACACATCATTATCTGTGTATATGTAGAAAGCTATATGGATGTAAGAATTTTTATATGCTGGTGACTCTGAACAATTGGACTCTTCATGCTTTCTTCTATTTCCATACCTAATCATTACCTTCTTCATATTATATCGTAATCTCCCCTAAATGAGCCCACACATGCAATTTTAATACGTGTGCTTCTGATTAACAGATTTTAAGGATGAGAACCCTACAAATTAGCAACTTGGAGCTTCCAGCCCTAGAGATTTCTATTACCACTGGGGAATAACAGAAGTTACTAAAGATGGGTGTGAGAAGCAGGCTTTCTAGCAGCTCTCAGAGGCAATTGCTGACGTACACAATTGTGCTGGGGTCTGGAATATGTTCTCTGTGGATAACAGCTATTAGTTGAGGGCCTGCTTTCTTTTACTTTCTTTCTTTTCTTTTTGCTAAATGAAGATGCAGAATATATTATATACTTGTATATATGCACATATATATTATGTAAATATGAGAATTTAAAGAAAAATAGTGAACCAATTAGCAATCTAATCACAATCCAGTTTAAAAAATAAAATACAGTCTGTTCTTTAAAAACCTCCTTTATGCCCTATCTCAAGACACCCTGCCTTTTCCTCAAGGGTAACCAATAGCATTAATTTTGTATTTATAATCTCCTTACTTTTTGTAGAGCTTTATTACCTATAAATTGGCAAATGTTCCAAAGGGAAAAGCAGTGCAAAATGTCATGTTCACCTTAATGGGTTTTCCTTCTCCAGAGTCCCTTTACCCTGCCAGTCCTTGCTGCCTGGCTCCACAGTGTCTTAGAACAAAAGGTATTTTTTTAATCTAACTCTTCCAGTTATTCTTGATAGAACAGTTGGCTCAATATAAGCTAGTCATCAATTCTAGAGGCAGAATTACTTTCAATATTTAACTATTAATATGAAAAGTACAGTATGATATGAAGAAACCTAAGGCCAGGCTGGAAGCCTTCTTACAGATGTTTATTAGAGGCTCACCAGGGAGGAAGGGCATTTTAAGCAGAAGGAATTGGGCAAAGCCTTGGAGGCATAGACTGGCATGATATCACTGGGAAACTGCAAAGAGTTCTTTCTGCATCCCTCTTTTGTTAGAACTTTGAGGCTTGCCGATTCCAATTCATCATGAAAATTAGAGTAATATCCCTTTCTTTCCAAGCTGAAGAATCAAAATCTACTTTAAAGAAGGCCAAGAACAATGGCATGTCAATATGAGTGTCACCTACAGGTTCTCTTTTAAAAACAACCCTCTTTTGCTCAAGTAGACTTTCAGTGTCGCATGCTCCTCAAATAATTGACATACGTCCTTCACTCAGCATGTTAACCTCTCACATATGGAAGATTGGCTGTGCCAGCCACGTGCCTGACCTCATGTGTCCCAGATCTCAGCAGTTTATTGAGCATCCAGTTTGTGCCCATCATTCCTATCTCAGAGAACTCACCATGGGCTTAGCCAAGATGTAAATACATAAAAAGTCAATTAACTTTAACAATGACTCATCCACACCTACTATGTCTGGAAAGACACTAATTTCTGCAATACAAAGATGAATAGGATGTGTATGTATCCCAGGAACTATATACAAGGGTTCTCCAGATATAATAATGGAAACACTAGACACAGTAAAATTATCAGTCAGTGAGAAAAGAATCTAAGCTATGATATAAACATTTAGTAGAATATGCTATAAATGAGTAAAGATTAATTCACTCTGTATGAATATATCAACATGGGTACATCACAAAGATGTAATGTTGACTGAAAAAAAACTACATTGCTACCTTTTATATAAACATAGACCATACACATGGACAAATATTTGTAATATTAATAATAATAATGATAGCTATCATTCACGCAGAGCTTAATACGAACTTTTAGAAACATGAATAAATTTTATCCTCACAATAACCAGATGGACTAGACTCTATTATTTCCATTTTTCAGATGAAGGAACTGAGAAGTTAAGGAATGGAATTTGCTCAAAGTCACATGATTAAAAAGTGGCAGCACTGGCCCCAGCATCTACGATCTTCAATGCCATGCTATACTGCCTCATGAAAGCCTGAGACTTTTGACGGGCAGGATATTCACCAACTTCATAATGATAGTTAGTTACCTCAAGGAGGAGGAAGAAAAATGGTATAAGTGCCATCTCACACCAGTTAGAATGGCAGTCATTAAAAAGTCAGGAAACAACAGGTGCTGGAGAGGATGTGGAGAAACAGGAACACTTTTACACTGCTGGTGGGACTGTAAACTAGTTCAACCATTGTGGAAGTCAGTGTGGCGATTCCTCAGGGATCTAGAACTAGAAATACCATTTGACCCAGCCATCCCATTACTGGGTATATACCCAAAGGACTATAAATCATGCTGCTATAAAGACACATGCACACATATGTCTATTGCGGCACTATTCACAATAGCAAAGACTTGGAACCAACCCAAATGTCCAACAACGATAGACTGGATTAAGAAAATGTGGCACATATACACCACGGAATACTACGCAGCCATAAAAAATGATGAGTTCATGTCCTTTGTAGGGACATGGATGAAATTAGAAATCATCATTCTCAGTAAACTATCGCAAGGACAAAAAAACCAAACACCGCATGTTCTCACTCATAAGTGGGAATTGAACATTGAGAACACATGGACACAGGAAGGGGAACATCACACTCTGGGGACTGTTGTGGGGTGGGGGGAGGGGGAGGGATAGCATTAGGAGATATACCTAACGCTAAATGACGAGTTAATGGGTGCAGCACACCAGCATGGCACATGTATACATATGTAACTAACCTGCACATTGTGCACATTATACTTAAAGTAAAGTATAATAATAATTAAAAAAGAAAAATGGTATAAATGGAAGGGCTTTACTCTTTGTCTAGCACATTATTTTTTTTTTAAAAAAAGAAAAAAGAAAACAGACCTCTAGCATATGCAATACAATATTAAAATTTGCTTCCTCTCAGGTGTCTTCCATTAATTTTTTCTAATTTTTCTATGTCTAAAATAAGCAATGAATTGAAATTTTTTAAAAAGAGATGAATAAGAAATGGGCCTTGTGTCGGCTAAGAGAAGTAACCATGAAAATAAAAACTATTGTATATTGGTGTAATGTTATTGCTATATTTAACATTTAGAGCGTTTGTTTTCAAAATATTATTACCTCATACATACACAGACCTGGGACATGAATAAGACAAGGGTTTAATAATTTTATGTATAAGCAAAATGAGGCTGAGAGAGTTTAAACAACCTAGTGCAACTATTAGTTTTTGAAAAGCCAGTTTTTTTGTGGGGTTTTTTGGCCTTACCATGTGGTAACAGCACCCCTCTCATCAAGAAAGTTTCAGAAACATATCAGGCATGAGGAAGTGCCTGTAGGAAAGAGATGCAGTGGACAACACACTAACTCATCCATTCCTTTTTGTGCCAAAATAGATGCTTCCTTTTGTCTTCTTTATCAGAAATTATGAATTAAAGCATAGGAAACAACTCCACGATCTTTTCTTTTCCATCTCTCCAACATGACTACAATCGCCATGGGAGAATGAGAAGAGGGACAGATGAGGCAATAGTCTTCATGCTTTCTTCTAGACCTGAGCTGTTCAATATGGCAGCCACTAGCCACATGTGGCATTGAGCACTTGAAATGTGCAGAGTGTCTGAGGAATGGAGTTTTAAATTTTTTAGTTTACTAATTTAAGTTTAAATGTAAACAAACATTGAACTAGTGTAAAATATATTTTCAATTAAATGAAACTTCATTAATTTCAAGACATATTTCACTTCAACATTTGCTTCCTGTAAGACAGTATTGTTGGATTTTAGTATGCATGTTGGACTTGTACCTCCTTTCTAGTGTTACATATAAATACATCATCAATCAAGTAACATTTAGGCATATCTAGTTGGTGTCCATGGATTGATTCAGTTTGAATAATTTTTTTTCCTATGGCGGGTTGTAATATTATAATGTGTTTATTTGAATATCATATGCAAATACCATAAGTTTCAGTGATCCTGACAATTCGTTAAATTCAATGTTAACATGAAACTTTAATGTGTTGACTCCTTCAATTTTATAAATTTACCTCCCCAGTAATATACTTTGTAAAATTTATTTTCCTCCAGCTCAGGGTGCAGTCTAGGACCATGTACTGTATTAAGTTATCATATCTCTTTAGTTTCCGTTAATCTGGAGCAGTTGGCAGCCTTGTATCTCTTTTACAATATTGACATTTTTGAAAATTAAAGCAGTGAGCCATTTTTATAGTCTCTTTTTCTCACCTGGAATGCCATTTTAAAATATCTTACCTCGTCTTTATTCAGATTTTGAAGAGTGCTTTGCAAATGGCCTCTAGGGTCAGCCAGGGCTAGAATCAAGACATAAATGACCATACAAATAATGCTAGGGTGTATGGAAGGGGTTTTTGAAACTGAAAGGCCTCCAGTGGTGAAGACAAAGAAGATGGGAGGTGAGACTTGAGGGATAGGCCCTTTGGAAGTAGAGGACGACTGAGAAGCTGTTGCTACGGAAGAAAACTAGCAAAGAAAGGAGCTGTCAACTCTGGTAAAGTTGCATATATGGATGGAAAAGGTCTGGGTGTCCTGAGCCAAGGCAGATTCATGAGAATTGAATTGAAAATAAAGGAGAATTGAGAAAGGAAATAAAGTGAGAATTGAGAAAAGAAAGAATTGAGGAGGTAGAGAAATTACACAGTGCTTAATTAAAGCAGTTAATAATCTTAATAATGAAGCTGTATTACAACTTTCTTAAATGCCTCGTTATCCTAGGTATATAAGACAAAAATATGGCCTCATTATTGATTTTTTAAAGGATTTGAGAGGCTATGAGGAATTTTAGTGAAAGTTAGAAAGTAAGTGCCAAAAATCAGGAGGCCTATCTTAGAAGAAGTCATCAAATAAGTGATTCAAAACAAACAATATTGTTTAAAATAAATCCAACTGCTCTCTTAAGAGATTGGATCTAGCTAAAGGGAAGGCCTTGCTCACTCTCCAGATCAGTATGGATTCGGGTGTGGCATATCCTTCTCTAGTGCCAAGAAAGAGATAGTCTCTCATCTCAATAAAAATTCAACATCTAAAATGGCACTTGTTGCAAAAGAACCTAGGAAGTTCATGGTGTTACCTTCTCTGGTCCATCGACCTCAGAAAGTCCTCGTTTCTTCAGTGCACAACCTTCCCCCATACAGCCCTGTCTGTCTTTCTTTAGGCCTGTGTGGCAGGCTGCACCCTTCGTGGAGAATGTACAATCAGTAAACAGATCCAGAAGCAGCTGGAGAACTACCTTCAATAATAATTTATTCAACAACAGGGAGGCCAGCCCTACATCATCCAAGCACCTCTGGCACTGATGCAGCCTTGGGGGAAATAACCAAGGAAAGCTCTCACAGCCCTCTGTATTCAAATACTAAAAGACCAAGATTGTATATTAATAGAAGCACCCAGGAGGCTGCCATGTAAGGGTCCCAGCTAGTGAGGATCCAGGTAGGGAAAGACCTGGGGAGATGTATGAGACATACCTTGAGGAGGGACCAAAATAACCTACCATGGGATTCAGAAGCTAAACACAGGAGGTTCTGAAGGAAAACTCTGAGGAAAAAAAAAAAAGTAAGTCAGTCACGCAGGGAATGGCTGATCAAAAAGCCTGTAGAAAAACCTGGAATAAAGACAAACAAAAAAAATATACCCGCCAAGTAAACTTGGGAAGTCACTGGGGTAGACCATTTTGGGTAGAAAGCCTGTATGTGGGTTGTCTTCAGTTTGCTGCCTACTATCCACTGCCTGGTCCTGGAAAGTCTCATACTCACATGGAAACCAGAAATATTACACTCAGTGGTCAGGAAAGTCATGTGAATTCCTTATGGGAGGATTTCTTCCCCAATCCAAGGATTCAGCTGATGTTAGAAGCTCATATTACGTAGTTTTGGGGGCAGCAGAGGCAGGCTTTGCCCTTTAAGGTCCTTGAATCCATAAAACTATATCAGATGAGAGAGACACAATCCTGGCCTCTTCTCTATTCTGCCATTCTCTCTTTAACCACCCATGTTTCAGAGACTGACTCTAGAGATGAGACTGCCAAGCTCCTTGGGGAAAATACCAAAGTAGGTCATGGAGACAGGGACCCAGTCTTCACACTTCCCCTGCTACCCCTCCCGTGGGATAGGAAGGCTAGATGACCTTGACATGATATTGGTCATTTGTTCATAAAACAATCTCAAACTGAAGAAGATAGCAAACAAATTTTTGAGCTGCTCACACTCAGCATCATGGACAAAACCTGGCAGAATTTTCAATCTATAGGAGCAGTCCAAAGCTGACAACAAGTTGAGCACTTGAAATGATCTGAGAGATGAGAGTAGGAGTTTTGCTCCAAGAGACTTTGGCCATAGATTGGCAATGCCCCAGAGGATAAGAGTGTGAGAGAAGATAACTGTTCAGGGAAACAGTGAAGGCCAAGGACCCCTTTATCTCTTCAACTGCAATCAAGCAACATCTGGAGAGTCAGTTAGTGGAATGCTTCTTTTTCAAACAGAAGTTCCAATTCCAAACGATATATTTGTGAATACATAAAACTGAATGCTTTTAACAGCATCCAAGTCATATCTTGAATGCTTTGCTCCTTAGAAATTTCTTCTGCCAGATCCCTGCCCTAAATTTTTTCTCTCAAGTTCATAGTTCGGCAGATCTTTAGGGCAGAGGCAAAATGTTGCCAGCCTGTTTGCCAATGCATGGCAACGATCACCTTTATTCCAGTTTCCAGCAAGTTCCTCATCTCTATCTGAGACCACCTCAGTCTGGACAACATTGTCCATATCACTATTAGCATTTTGTCCAAAACTACTCAAGTCTCTAGGAAGTTTCAAACTTTCCAACATCTTCCTGTCTTCTCCTGAGCCCTCCAAACTGTTCCAACCTCTGCTGTTACAGAGTTCCAAAGTCACTTCCATATTTTTGGGTATCTTAATGCAGCACCCCACTATTCTCAGTACCAATTTAGTGATTAGTCTGTTCTCACACTGCCATAAAATGCTGCCTGAGACTGGGTAATTTATAAAGGAAAGGGGTTTAATTGACTCACAGTTCTGCATGGCTGGGGAGAACTCAGGAAACTTACAATCATGGTGGGAAGGGGAAGCAAACATGTCCTTCTTCACATGATGGCAGGAAGGAGAAGAGCTGAGCAAAAGAGGAAAATGCCTCTTATAAAACCATCAGATCTTGTGAGAACTCATGCCCTATCATGAGAACAGCATGAGGGTAACCACTTCATGATTAAATTACCTCCCACTAGGTCCCTCCCAGGACACGTGGGGATTATGGGAACTACAATTCAAGATAAGATTTGGGTGGGGACACAGCCAAACCATATCATGACTACAGAGCACACTGGTGCCATCATGGCAGAAGTGTTTATGGGCTTTTCTTTGAGCATAAAAACAACATCTGCATGGCTGTCTTTAGACATGGTGGGAGGTAATTGAATCATTGGGGCAGTTACCTTTATGCTGTTCCCATGATAATGAGTGAGTTCTCACAAGATCTGATGGTTTTATAAGGGGGCTTCCCCCTCCCCCACTTTGCTGTGCACTTCTCCTTTGTGCTGCTGCCATGTGAAGAAGGATGTGTTTTCTTCCCCTTCCACCATGACTGTAAGTTTCCTGAGGCCTTCTGAGCTCTGCAAAACCATGAATAAATTAAACTTCTTTTCTTTATAAATTACCCACTCTTGGGTATGTCTTTATTAGCAGCATGAGAATGGACTAATACACCTGGGCTCTGTTTTGGTCTCCCCACACTCTATAACAGTATGTCCTTCAATGCTTTAGCCAAGTGGGTCTTGTGACCACCAAGATATAACACCCAGAATAGGCTACCTTTCAGAGTCAGTCAGCTGTTGTGCAAGTGGAACACATGCAGTCAAATCTCCAACCACCCTGGTGTACCTTTCCTGAGCCTTGAGGACCAGCTCACAATGAGTCCTAGGCTTCTGTTGTCTCTTGCTGCCTATCTGTAACTAATAAACCCATTTCATTAACTTGTTGTGTATGGTGGTGTTCTGCCTCATTGGCCTCAGATAAGTTAGTAACCAGTTCACGGTGAAACTGTTTCACAGTTGTAGTGAGAGTAGATATTAAAGCTGTTTGTGAGCCACCACTGGTCTCTCCAAAGTGGTGGAGAGAGGAAGCAGTATAGTTCATCCTGGCTCCATTCCAGTCTCTGGACCCTACCCTATATCTCATATCATGGACCTCCAGAAGAAAACTTTTACTCCTAAAGAGAGCAATCAAAGCCTATAGCCATGAAAGTTTTGTTTCTGCTCTTAATAACATATTTAATAATATTGCACATCCATCATTTTATTTGATTATTCCAACTTGAAGTTCAGAGAAGCTGAGTTACCAAAGAGATGGAAAAATCCAGGACTAGGGAATTCAGAACATGAGACTCCCAAGCCAGTGTTCTTTATCATAAGTCCATAGACAAAAGGAAATCTCAACAAGAGAGGTGCTGGCTTAAGAAAGCTGAGTTACTGGCCTTGGACTACACAGTAAATCACTCCTGGCTTTCAGATATTCCCCTATCTTGAGAAACATGTGGGATGAGACAATTAGACAGGATGTACACACACAGGGAGGCTAGAAAGCAACTTATCCAAGATGAGGTTCAGTCACAGTTCAGGTGAGATCCCACAACCTTACTCTGCCTCTAGCACTGTTTCCCCTTCCCTGACTCATGACTATATGAGAAAGCAGGAGAGCCCAAAAAGCAGGAGAGCAAATTATCTTGAGTCTAGATAATTGACAAATATCTTGTGTACACACCAATGTCACACAACTTCAGAGGGTGTCATTCATTCACATTTATAGAGCATGCCCCAGGGATTAATTGGCCTAAAATAGAACAAAAAATGAGGCTCCCTGGAGTCAAACAACTTCAAGTCCTAAACTCCAAACCTAATATTAGGACAATTAAGATGTATAAATGGGCTGGTACCTTCGAGATGGAGTGGATACAGGGACCTCAAAGCCCAACTGCTGGGCCAATAAATTTCTCTTTGAGCAGGGTCTTGTCTACTGTAACTCCTAGAGGACATCTCAATGTTGCGAGTTTCCATTAAGAACTGAAATAGATTTCTCAGCCTCAGGAAAAAGGCCCAGGAGGCCTTACCTCTCTATTGGCAATACAATATGATAATTACTAGGCCTATTTGGTCATTAAAAATTTAAATTAATTATAATAAAATAAAACAAAAATTCATAGCCTCAGTCAAACTACCCACATTTTAATTGCTCAATAGCCACATGTGTCTAGCGACAGTCACATTAGACTGTGCAAATATAGATGTTTATCCTCACAGAAAATACTGCGGGACATCGCCAAGTCAATCCTAAGCCAAAAGAACAAAGCTGGAGGCATCACGCTACCTGACTTCAAACTATACTACAAGGCTACAGTAACCAAAACAGCATGGTACTGGTACCAAAACAGAGATATAGATCAATGGAACAGAACAGAGCCCTCAGAAATAATGCCACATATCTACAACTATCTGATCTTTGACAAACCTGACAAAAACAAGCAATGAGGAAAGGATTCCCTATTTAATAAATTGTGCTGGTAAAACTGGCTAGCCATATGTAGAAAGCTGAAACTGGATCCCTTCCTTACACCTTATACAAAAATTAATTCAAGATGGATTAAAGACTTAAATGTTAGACCTAACACTATAAAAACCCTAGAAAAACACCTAGGCAATACCATTCAGGACATAGGCATGGGCAAGGACTTCATGTCTAAAACACCAAAAGCAATGGCAACAAAAGCCAAAATTGACAAATCGGATCTAATTAAACTAAAGAGCTTCTGCACAGCAAAAGAAACTACCATCAGAGTCAACAGGCAACCTACAACATGGGAGAAAATTTTCTCAACCTACCCATCTGACAAAGGGCTAATATCCAGAATCTACAATGAACTCAAACAAATTTACAAGAAAAAAACAACCCCATCAAAAAGTGGGTGAAGGATATGAACAGACACTTCTCAAAAGAAGACATTTATGCAGCCAACAGACACATGAAAAAATGCTCATCATCACTGGCCATCAGAGAAATGCAAATCAAAACCACAATGAGATACCATCTCACACCAGTTAGAATGGCAGTCATTAAAAAGTCAGGAAACAACAGGTGCTGGAGAGGATGTGGAGAAATAGGAACACTTTTACACTGCTGGTGGGACTGTAAACTAGTTCAACCATTGTGGAAGTCAGTGTGGCGATTCCTCAGGGATCTAGAACTAGAAATACCACTTGACCCAGCCATCCCATTACTGGGTATATACCCAAAGGATTATAAATCATGCTGCTATAAAGACACATGCGCACGTATGTCTATTGCGGCACTATTCACAATAGCAAAGACTTGGAACCAACCCAAATGTCCAACAACGATAGACTGGATTAAGAAAATGTGGCACATATACACCATGGAATACTATGCAGCCATAAAAAATGATGAGTTCATATCCTTGTAGGGACATGGATGAAACTGGAAATCATCGTTCTCAGCAAACTATCACAAGGACAAAAAACCAAACACTGCATGTTCTCACTCATAGGTGGGAAATGAACAATGAGAACACATGGACACAGGAAGGGGAACATCACACTCTGGGGACTGTTGTGGGGTGGGGGGAGGGATAGCATTAGGAGATATACCTAATGCTAAATGATGAGTTAATGGGTGCAGTACACCAACATGGCACATGTATTCATATGTAACAAACCTGCACGTTGTGCACATGTACCCTAAAACTTAAAGTATAATAATAATAAAATAAAATAAAAAAATTATGTTTTAAAAAAAAAAAAAAAAAAAGAAAATACTGTGGGACAAAGAACTCCTATTAGTCCTGGAATCCAGAATCTACATTAGCCTCTTATTTTCCTGTGATTATAGGATATTTGTGGGTATCGTTAGAGAGGCCAAGCAGATGTCTGCCAACGGTAGAGACCTGAAATGGACAGGATTGAGTGGTCAATGCCTGAGAGTTCGGAACAGAAGAGGAGGGCCCTCTGGAAATGAGCTCTAAGAACAGTGTTTGTGAGGAAGTGGTGATAAGTTCCATTAGTGACAGGGTCTCACGTGGAAGCAACTTCTCCAGCAGGTCTTCTGTCTTGTGTTGTCACTAGAGAAGAAGTCCAATTGAGTGAATAGAATCTTTTATCTAATGTGCACAAAAATCAGTTCATTTGAGGGCAATATTGTGTATATTGTCAAAATGTTTTTCTTATTCACATAGGGTATATTGAGAATACCCATCACCTGTTCTCTGTGTCAAGAAGAAGAGAATTTAGCCACATGAACTATATATGCAGTCCATAAATTAAAAGCACTTGACATTTTCTATAGCACATCTCAATATGAATCATCCACTGTCCAGTAAATGGGTTATGCTGAACACTTACATTCATTAGCTAAACTGTCATAAAGACAGAGTGTTGGAATTGCTACTTCTAGTCCTAAATTCTGAGTGTTGGACACTTGGGAAACAGGCAGACTTTGCTCACATAGCCCATAACAGATCTCTTCATGGGAGCTGCCATCAGCATTCTTTCTTCTCTCTTTCGGTGCTTCTCAGTGAGTGCTGTGGAGCTAGAGAAAGCTGTCAGATCCCCTGCAAGATTAAACGAACAGCTCAACAGAACAGAAAGGCAAAAGAAAATCTGCTCTTGCAGAGGGACACATACTTCGGCTTGTAGCTGTCAGGAAAAGAGGAAGCTCCAATGCCATAAGTAAAAATGGGTTCCTTCTTCAGCCATTTAATGATAAGATTTTCTTAGAAAAGTACAATTTTCTCAAGTCACTCAAGCCACTTTCTGTTCATTCCCCTGGGTGTGGTGTCTATTTGATCTTAAATTTCTCCAAGATCCATAGCCTGAAACCCTTCATCTCTCACCTGTTTTGCCATATCTCTTTCATGATTTTCTTCACTGGCTCTGTCATAAATCCTGTGAAGTCATGCACTACATCTGGATACAGTTTTCTCCAGCAGGAATTTATTGTTTCAGGCTTGATGGCTTTCACGGCTTTTTCTATAACAAGGATGGCATCTTCAGTGGTGTAACCCTTCCAGACTTTCATGATTTTTTTTCTATCAGGGTTCTTTTCCATAGCATTGACAATACTTTCCATAGGTACCCTGTGTAACGAGCCTTAAAAATCCGTGGCCCCTGATCTAGGGGCTAAATTTGAGATATTGTCTTTGGGGGTAAATAGAGCACTTCAACACCTTTAGTCTTGAACTCATGGTGTTCTGGATGGCCAGGGCCATCGTTCAATATCAGAAGAACTTTAAAAGACAGACCCTTTCTGGCAAGGTGCTTCCTGACATTAGGGACAAAGCATCAACACAACCCATCCAGAAAAGGTATTCTCATTGTTCAGACTTCTTGTTGTACAATCAAAGACTGGCATCTGATGTTCATCTTTCCCTTCAAAACTCAGGAGTTAGCAGCTTTGTAAATAGGGCAGTTCTGATAATAAAGCCAACCGTATTTACACCGAAGAGTATAGTTAGCCTATCCCTTCCTGCTTAAATCTTGATGCTTGATTTTTTTTCTTAAAAATAAATGTATTTTGTGGCACTTTCTTTCCAAAATAGAACACTCCTGTCTGTGTTAAAAACCTGTTCGGGCAGATATCCTTTCTCCTTAATGATTTTCCTAGTGGTGTCTAAAAATTTGTCTGCAGCCTCTTGGTTGGCAGAAGCTTCTTTCCTTGTTATCTTAACATTACTTAAGACAAACCTCTTTCTAAAATTATCAAACCATCCTTTGCTGGCATTAAATTCTCTAGCTTTAGATTCTTCTCCTTCCTTTTGCTTTAAGTTGTCATATAATGACTTTGCTTTTTTCACATAATATTGGAGTCTATATATATGCCTTTCTTATAGCATTCCTGTACCCACATAAAAGCTGCATTGTCATTATGAGATAAAATGATATTTCACAAAAGGTGCAAAAGTTTTCCTATATGGTGGTATGGATGCAATGGCGACTTCATGAATTTCCTTTTCTGTTTTTACAGTGGCCCATATGCTGGGTGCATTTATCTTGAAATAGTGGGCAATCACAGCTATAGATCTCAATCTGTGGTGCATTATCAAGCAATTCAACTTTTTTATTGTAATGTCATGACTCTTCTCTGCTTCTTGGGAGCACTTTCAGCAACACTAGTGGCACTCCATGTGGGTCCTATGGTGTTATTTAAGGTTTACAGTATTGCACTAAATACAGTGAAAAATATGTGAGAACCACGAGAATCACTTTTTATTGCAATAAGCAATTTACCGGAGAGACAAACTGCTCATGTGGAGATTATTAGCATTACAGGGTATTTTAAGCAGATATTATAACACTTGAGTTCTCCACAATAGCACCAGGAGATAGCTACAAAATTATTACAGTAGTACAGTATGTACTACAGTTAATTTTATGCAGTTATAATTCAGTAGTGCCTCTTTATCTTTGTTTACATTTCTCTTGACTAAATAGCACCAGGTAAAGTCTGTGTGTGTGTAATTCTTGATAAAATGCAACTTTTAAAAATAGATTTGTGTATATTTTATGATAGTAAAAGATAGAAAAATGCCTATATATATTTTATGCACTCATGATATACCTACCTTCTTAATTTTTGATATTTCTAGGATACACAATTCATTTGTAAGTTGTTTCAAATTGTTGCAAATCTCCAAAAAATGTTCCAATATATTTACTGAAAAAAAAATCCACATATAAGTGGACATGCATGATTCAAATCCATGTTATTAAAGGGTCAACTATGTGTATTTATATATATACACACACATATGAAAAGAGAGAGAGAGAGAGAGTACTTACTGATTTCCATAGTGTAAATGTTCTCTCATTTTATGTTTTTAAGCTAACTATGACTTCACTGTGAGTAGCATTAAGAAGAGATGGCACAATCAGCTCTTCTTAACTGGTGTGAGCTGGTTCTAGCACATTGCCGAAGACTTGCATCTTTCTCTCACATCCTACATCCCATTCAGCAGTAAATCCAATTGGCTCTATCTTCAAACTATATCCAGAATCCTGCCACTTCTCAGCCCCTCTGCTGCTACCATTCATGTTCAAGTCACTATCTTCTCTCATCAGAGTTTTAGAACAACCTCCTAACTGATCTTTGACCCTACAGTCTATTCTGAGCCAAAGGGATCATTTTAAAACATAAATCATGTCACTCCTCCTCTCAGAACCCTCCATTAGCTTCTATCTCATCAGCGTATGTGAAAGCCATCAAATAGTAGTCTATTTCCACTGTATTTTTCTTATCATTTTTTACATAGCAATTTACTAATTTACCTCCTGTTATCTGCTTTCACTTTCAGGAATGTAAGCTTCATGAGGCCACAGATTTTTGTCCTTTGTGTCTGAATCCCCAGGTCCCAGAAAAGTGAATAGACATAGAGTAAGCATTTAACAAATAACTGTTAAATAAATGAATATATTAATCAGTGCATCCTACTTCTTGACTGCTTTAACCCGGGTTGCTCCTCATTTGCATCCTCCTGATTTCTGAATCTTACCTGCTCCCAACCATAGTGTGTCCTGCCTCCATCCTAACCTGGATCACTGTCCTTCACTGCTTCAGACCTCACGCTTCTCACCCCTACTTATCGCCCACTTCCCGTTCTGCCGGTTTTGAGCTACTACATTGCCAGCCACAACTTGGCATAACACATGGAATAGTCCTTTTAGGCTGCCTCCCAGCTTCTTCATATTTTTAGAAACATGCCCAAAATGAATGCTCATATAACCCATTTGCTCACATATATCTGACACTACTAGGATAACTAAAAATGAATAATTTAGATGAATGATTACACTTCTCATATATTAAGCAATGTATAATCTAAGTAAAAGTTAAGTACCTATCATCACCTGGTACAAGAACATAAATGGCAATTAGTGGGTGAGTAAATTATCAGAGTGATGATAACTAATATTTATTGAGCTCTTACTGTATATTGGACACATCGACTGTGTTATCTCTTTTTGCATCTTTCCATTTCCACTTTGTCAACTTAGAGCAAGAATATAGCCTTCCAATCAGAATCTTCATTTTCACCTTGTTCTCTTTCAATATAATTTTTCATGCTATAGTCACCCTGACTTTTAAAAAAATTTAAAGACACGCCAGAGCCCTCTCATCATACTCAACATAATACAAACTTTTTATCAGTATCCAGTGATAATATTTAGCATCACTAGGTGCTTACTGTTTTCAAAGCTTGTTTGAATATTTCATATAATCCTGTTTAGTGCCTTCAACAATCCTATGAGGTAGGAAAAGCAGACATAAAGAGGATAAATGATTTGCTCAGTGTCATGAATTTAATAAATGGCAGAGCTGGGATTTGAATCCAGTCACAACCACTCTGCCATTCTGTCCCCTGAATGAGTGAGCTGGCCAAAGATACCATCTCAATTCTGTCTCCTACCGTGCCCTCCACCTGCTGAGCTAGAGTTCACTGCACTGCAGACATACACACTCTTTCTACCCTGGAACACATACAACTTAATGTTATTCCTCAGCAAGGCTTTCCTGAACCACCCAATCTAAAGTTACATTCTCTCTCTCATAGCATTCAGTTCTTTTCCTTCACAAGGTTAGTCACAATTTATGGATATACTTGTTTGCTTACATATTCATTCTCTTTCTCTACCACCATCATACCATGTTTCTACAAAACAGCCTGTACCCAGAACTTTCTAGTTCTTAATAAACATTTGTTGAATCCATTTGTGAATTTAGCATCATTTAATATTCACTACAAACCCTGAGGGAGGGCTTCTTTTAATTGACAGAGATAGTAAATAACTTGCCCAAGGTCAAAGAGCTTGTAAGTAGGGAGGCCTGGATTGCAACCCCAACCTTTCTGGTTCCAGAACACCAGCAAGCTGTGCTCTTCCCAAGGTGCTCAGGATTTGAGGACCTTAAACAGGGAGATGACTAAAGCAGCTGGCAGATGGGTTTAATAATCTCCTCTGTAATTATCTGCAAATTTGTAAACCTCGAAGTGAAAAATCAATCCTCCCTACTCAAGCTACTTTTTAAGAGTAAAGACTGAATGACCGAATGGAGCCTCATCTTGGGGGCTGTACTGAGCAAATCACAGTGCAAGGAGGCAGCTAATTGCTCAACCTGATTGCAGCTGCTAATCACAGTCATAGGGAAAAAAGTGTCGGGAATTAATTAGGCAAGGACCTTCTGAACAGCAGCAGGAAGCCTCCAAGTGACCTTTATTTACAGTCAGTTAAACAGAAGTGTGACTAAAAATGCCAGGGAGCAAATCAGATTATTAATATTGATTGCTTAAAGAAAATGAATAATTTAGAAGCCGAGTCAGAATAAATATCCAGTGACAGAGATGAAAGAGCACAGCATCCCACATTTCTAACATTCATCCGTCATGCAGCAGTGTCCCCTGCTCGGAAATTGAGAATTTTCACCCTCACAAAGCACAATTAGTTTCATGACCCAGCATGATTGCCACCAGGAACTGTTCTCATTCAGCCAAGCATGGGGGAAATCCAGAGTGCTGAACTTGAGCTTTTGTCAACACTTTGCATGGTAAACTAATTACAAGTTCATGGAAGGTTTCTTTTCAATTTTTATTAATAAAACATCAACCAAAGGAAGTTAGATTGCATTTTCCGTACTAACTGAGCAAGGCTCAAGGGTTTCCATTTTTGATGTAAATATGTCTCTTGTGGTGCATATAATACAGAAGTTTTCAACAAAAAGGGCAGAGGTCTCAGATTGTTTATAACTCAAGATTTTCAGAGGTTATCTTCAATTTTCAATAAAAGTTGCCTTTCAAATACTAGAGTCAATTTGATACCACACTTCAACAACAACACACCTCTATCCTAACTCTATTTGGTGATAAGGCAGATATAGAGCACTTATTTATAGCAATATCATGAATGAGTGCTTTTGAGTTATATGGTTTTCTTTAAGCAGTGATTTTTGACATTTTTGAGCCATGCTGAAAGTTTAAGTTATGCTTAAAATTGTACTCTCCTCTACCTAGAAGTACTAATTCAATTTCTTAGTGGAGAGTTATTGCTACAATTATGTTTTTGGGCAGTAGATATTAATAGTTTTGCTGAAGTGGGAACATTTCAGAACTACCACCATGGTGAAATTCAGGCGTGTTTATTTTGGATAAGACTCAGAGAAATTAAGCTCTGTTACCATCAGATTAATGTAGCAAATTAACTAGCCATGTTCAAGGCAGCTACAATTTCTATATGACAGTAAACATAATTTGTAAACCAATCAATAAAGCAAGGCAAATCACTCATTTTGTCTAGGCATTAGTATTCATTTATGCCCATATTAATTTATGTCACTCATATTATTTATTGAGTATAAGTATTAGCATTATCTCATACACATATAAGAGAAATACTGAGATGAAATATTTTCCGTTTCTACAGAGTGAATAGAACTGAATTGTCCCCCCTTTTAAACACAGTTGTTTAAAGTGCATTCCTTTAATACCTTACGTTGCGGTGGAATATCAAAATGTGTATCTGAATAATCTCCCCAGATGTTCCATTTCTTTACAGTTGAGAAGAAACCAAATGTAAGCCTCAGCCGTGGTTGAGATTCACTTCAAATGTGAATTTTTGACATGTATTGGTCTCGTTCTATTGCCTATTAGACTTTAGTAAATACAGCCCAGCTAAATGGTTTGACCAACCCTAAGTAAAACCCATGACCAACACAGTTAAGTTCTTCGGGTCCAAAAAGATAGGCACTAATGGTAGGAAGTCTGCACCAAGCACGGCTGCAATCTTCCCATTTGGCTGATTATTGATTTAAACATTGAGGGAATATCTTTCAAACATGAACAAATTATCACTTCTCTGTTACACACAAAAGTTCACAATAACATTCTATTCTTAAAAAAAAAAAGAAAAAAAACACTGATTGATTATTTCCCAATAACAGGAATCACTGCTCATTTTGACCTATTTGAAGGAGCAATAAAAGGTCATCTGGCTATGCAGCTATCTGGTTATATAGACTTTTTTCTATGAGAAATTAAATAAATATACCCCTCCTGGAAATAAAGGTCATGTAAAAATGAGACTCCTCAGTCCTCTATGGTCAAATACCAGTATGCCAACACTGCAGACTGATCATTTTCTGATAGAAGAATTCTCCTTCACTTGGAATGTTGCAGGGAAATAGAAGCCAGTGAGAGTTTTGTGTTTGTCCTACAATTTGAAAAAAAAAAATCCTCATTATGTATAGACTATGTCAGTGGTCCCCAACCTTTTTGGCATGAGGGAATGGTTTCGTAGAAGACGTTTTTTCCATGGAAGGCAGAGGGAGGTGGGGGTGGGAGGTGGGGGCTGGGTGTTGGATACTTTAGAGATGAAACTGTTTCACCTCAGATACTCAGATCATCAAGCATTAGTTTAGATTCTCACAAGGAGCAGGCAACTCTTGCGTGCACAGCTCACAATAGGTTTGGTACTCCTATGAGAATCTAATGCCAGTGTTGATCTGACAGGAAGCATTGCTCAGGCAGTAATGCTCACCCGCTGCTCACCTCCTGCTGTGCGGCCCCGGTTCTTACCAGCCCACTGGGACTGGGGACCCCTGGGCTATGTTATAATATTTCTAATATCTCTTCCTGGATGTTAGCTTGTTGTTTTTCAAAATATGCAAAACTGATGCTCAAAGGAAATGCAACAAAAACAAAGTGCAGAGAGCTATAATTAAGTGCCAGCATAAAGTCTTCATCACATTTAGTGTTAAAGTAATACAGTTTTTATTGAGGTATACTAAATGATTCAGGTAGGTGGCAGGTGGGTTACAACAAGTCATTAGATTGTGAGAGGATTTTATGGGTTCTTGTTTACATCTAGATAACTAGCACACTGACGGTGGTAACCACTCTTCCCCAAAGCAGTTTTTATTTTCAAAAAAAAAAAAAAAATCATGCAGAATTATGGTCCTGCATTTAGATTCCAGAAACCTACCTAAAAGGGGCTAGACCATGGCTAGAAAACTGAGCTTACTTTTTCTGATTCTTTTCCTATTTTCGGGAAACTAAATGAATCAGGTTCTTTAGAAAAGCAATAATGTGAAAATGTGCGTCTTTTAATACATGACAGCTATTGTTAAATACACGACTGTATGGCATTCTTAGATGTCTTCCTTTTGCTTCTAGTGGGTGATGATTTTCACATTAATTGTATGTCATTTGTAGTAGGGATGCCTGGCTTTACATGCAGATGTGCCCTATTTCTTCCCATTATGGGAATCAAGTAATATGATTGCAATAATTCCTGGTTTCAGATTATAAAAAGCAGCATCTTTAGAATTTGTAAATGTGATGTTTTTATTTTATTCCTTTGTTTATACACAGATTAAAACATGATCCCTCATGGCTGCAGCTTATAATTGAATTGAGTGTTCTGAGGCTGACACAGAGCAATGGAGCAATGCTTGAGTGACTTGGGAACAGAGTCAACACCTGAGGAATAAATTTTCTCCTTGATCTTTCACCATGGTTTTGAATCTTTTGATAATGTTGAGAAGACACAATAAAAATGATATTATTTTTAATGAGCAAAGACATGTAGCTGACACTACACTGCCTGCTGCAGAAAAGGATTTTTCAATATTATTTGAAAAATTTGGGGTGGGGGGATATTTTACATATAATTAATTTCATCTTAATTTGCTTAGCTCTCTGTTAAAGATCATCAGGTTGGAAATGCAATATGTTTCTTTGTTCTTTTTTATCCCCTTGAAGTCTCAGCATAATTTAGAACTACGGAAAAGTGATTCTTTAGCACTTTGCATGCAAGTCACAATTTCTTTATTGGGTTCCAAAAGATCCCTGGTCTCCAAGCTCCCAGTGCTCAGCTGCCACTGCATATGGTGCTGCTGCAAACTGAAACTTGCAGAAATAATCATTCCCTATGTTTGTAAGAGGCCGTGTTTCAAGCACTACTTGACACATCTCATTTCTTTAGGGAGTTTGCATTTGTATTGCAAAACAGCAGAGCCAATAAAAATCTAAGATCTTTTTCTCTGTTCAATACTGTATATTATGAACAATCCTTACTATCATTGCTAATAATCAGAACTTTTCAGCCTGAGGCTTTGTATGTACTTTCATTCCTAGAATGAAAACACAACTATAAATTAACACAGTATAGTAAATATGAAATATGGACACTTTTCCAAGTATGTGATTTTAAAATGTATTTTGTATTTACACTCAAAATTACACCACTTATTGCAAATCATTAGAGGCTTTATTGACTTTTTTCCTTCTGTGATCTTGCTATTGATTATTTCCTTAACCATCTTTTTAAATAAAAAGTCAAAAGTAGAAAAATGATGTTTTTAATTGCTTTACTAACACATATAGAACTAACACATATAGAATACATAATACTTACCTTAATTCAAGGGATATATGAGATACCTCCATACAGGTAGAGATGGCTCCAAGCTTAGATTTCTATGACCTTCTACTTGCTCTATTACATATAAATAAGACTGTAAAAATATAGCTGCCAACCAATATTTTCAAAAGCTAACACAGAGAAAGAACCACTTGAACACAGCCAAAGTCTCCATAAATTTTCAAGTTAGGTTTCTATGAGAGAACATTATATTTCAAGATAAAAAGCTTTGTTGTCAGCATCCTTACAATGTAAACTTAACAATATATGTTAATGGAGGCCAGGCGCGGTGGCTCATGCCTGTAATCCCAACATTTTGGGAGGCTGAGGCAGGTGGATCATGAGTTCAAGAGATTGAGACCATCTTGGCCAACATGGTGAAACCCCATCTCTACTAAAAATTCAAAAATTAGCCGGGCGTGGTGGCACGTGCCTGTAGTCCCAGCTACTCAGGAGGCTGAGTGTGTATATATATATATATATATATATATATACACACACACACACACACACACACATACACACACACACATATACACACATATATACACTTATATATACACATATGTATTTCATATATGCATATATACACATATATATTTCATATATACACATATATATTTCATATATACACATATATATTTCATATATACATATATACATTTCATATATATACACACATATATAAATGAAAGATAGTCTGGGCAGAGTTAGTTGACAGCCTGAAGATCAAATTATCATTTAGGGTTTCCTACCATTTTCTTTCAAAAAAATTCTTCATAAATAAGGACACTAAGGCTGTTTTCTCCGAAGGCCCATATATGCTTTGTTGGTTTTTTTCTTTAAGAAAAAAAAAAAAAAAAAAAAAACTTATTTTCCCATTCTGGACTTCTTGATTGTAAAACAGAAATAGAAAATGTTACTAAATTTTTTAAAAGTTCTAAATATGGTTTTAATTCAATAATCACCACTGGATTGAATTTCAAAAACTTTAAATATTTTTGTTTCTATGTTAGAAGGAGAAAAAGAGAACATAAATAGCATTTGAATATTTTAATGGCTTTGTAAATAATATTTATGTTTAAATTTGAATGCAAAATGTAGAGAATTTCAGGTAGAATGGAATTCAGTAGTGATAACCTCCTTAGCTAAGTTTTAATCAGTGTGGAAGATCCTATGCTTTGTGGCTTTGCTGAGTTCAGATGATGTTGGTGGATTCTGAAGCAGAAAAATAGGTATATGTTTCTTTGATGTTTTTCTTAAGAAAGTTGGAAGTGCATCCCATAGGAAAAATAAGTTTCTCCTTGCCTTCTTAATAGCCACTAGAGACACAGGAAGTGACCAGAATATCTACATTTGATTGATTATTATATAACCATTCAGTTTCTGAATAATTCAATGACCCAATTTTTTTTTTTTTTTTTTTTTTTTTTTGAGACGGAGTCTCGCTCTGTCGCCCAGGCCGGACTGCGGACTGCAGTGGCGCAATCTCGGCTCACTGCAAGCTCCGCTTCCCGGGTTCACGCCATTCTCCTGCCTCAGCCTCCCGAGTAGCTGGGACTACAGGCGCCCGCCACCGCGCCCGGCTAATTTTTTGTATTTTTAGTAGAGACGGGGTTTCACCTTGTTAGCCAGGATGGTCTCGATCTCCTGACCTCATGATCCACCCGCCTCGGCCTCCCAAAGTGCTGGGATTACAGGCGTGAGCCACCGCGCCCGGCCCCCAATTTTCTTCTTAATAGAAAGATTGCGTCTTTCATATAAAATAAATTTTTTTAAAAATACCTTGTCGTGCAACTGCTTAGAGGTGAAGAAAGCTATCCATGACTCGATCCATTTGGCTCTTTACAGTAAAACTTTCATTGATCAGGTAGTCAGCTACAAAGCTGACCCTAGAAATTCATGTGGGCAATGTTTGCCATGTCACAATTCATTTTTCATCCATGGTTGAGTTTCAACAAATTCATCTTCCTTTATCAAGCCCATTGAACATCAAAATGATTTCCATTACAATACTTACTAGATCTGGCTGTATTGATAGGCTTTATAAAATAATTCTTTTAATCTTTCACTCAATTATCTTACATTTTAGTGAATGGTATGAAAACCAAAAAAAAAAAAAAGCTTGTTTAGAGTACCAGGTACGGCAAATTGGCACTACTTGGAATTTTTATGCAGGCTTAATCATCATGGATGAAGATCATGGCTCAAAATGCCTATAGTTCCCACAAAAATAATTTACAGATTGGAGAATTATTTACCATTAGTTAGCACATCTAAGAAAAATCCTCTATCTGATAATATGTTTACCCTCAATTGAGGTTGTGACAGAACTGTGTCTAAAACTTTACAAATGTCTTAACTTGAGAGGGAAAATATGTTTTAAGAGCTAGCTGACTGATTAATTGATTGCTTATTGTGACAGTTAGCATAAGAAATAACAGAGAACTGGGTATTAGTCCTACAGATAACAGAGGGGAAGTCTGTGATCTATAGACTGTGAGGTGATGGTACCCATTAGAGTTGACTGATTACTTGTGAGAAACAAGAGACCAGAAACCGAGAGTTAGATTTGCCAGGCTTTAGATTTGGGTAGCTGAAAGGAAAATAATTATGTGAGTAGAAATATGGGAACTAGAAGAATCTGGGGATATTATAATCAGTTCAGATTGGAATCTTTTAGTTTACCTAAACTCCCATTTAAGAATATCTAGATGAGAGATGGTAAGAGCTGATGGCTTCAAGATGTTGAAGCTGGAGACAGAGATGGAGTAGTCATCTATATATGTGTCTATATCTAGTGATTGAAAATAACAAATAAACAGAGTTTTAAAAAATTACCCAGGATCCTGCTACCCATAACTAATCGAATAATATAACACATGCCCCAATCTTTTTATCATACACAAATACATACATAAATGTGCTCTTTCAGCCACTTCCTTGCATAGCATAACTATTTTATTTTGAAAATTGGTAAGAGGGAAGCTGAGATGTTTTAGCATCACCATTGTTCCAAAGCACTAGAGTTAATTTGTCACCTTGTAATTGCCACCAAATTGTAGTAATAGTAACTAGGAGGAAAAAGAATAGACTAGGAGAATACTCTTGAAAATTTAAATATGTTAAGTGCTAGTAGATAGTTTTTTTAAATCACATCATGATTCAAAGAGAATTTGAAGGAAAAATGTAATTCAAAAACATCTCTGTATTTCTTAGGTTAATACATCATATCAAAATTGTTTTATTTATTCCCTTCATTATCCCCACTCTCTTCATACTTGCTTCTCTTCAGTTTTGGACATGATTTCAGCCAAGTTAAAATAAATGCTGATTATGATGATCGCATAATTGGTTAGCAAATCAAATGTCTTTTTTTACATTAAGAAAAAGAGAGTTTGCTCTAAGTTGGTAGACATCACAATTATATAATATAGTCCCATTTGGACCTGCAATAACAGTTTTAGGCATTACAGCCTCAAATTGCTGTGTTTCACAGGCTCCAAGCAGAATTGTCATTCCCTGTAATGCCTTAGTGTAAGCACACGAGAAGTGAGAAAAAAAAAATCACTCAAGGAGGAAAATTACATGAAAATAGAAGGTATGAAAAAATTGCCTTGATATATGCTCCAATTACGTAGTCTAGAAATACAAAGAACAGTGGGTGTGTGCCTCTCAAATCTCCAGTGAGAAAAACATCCAGAAGTTCACAAAGCTCAATTGTTTTTCCAAAATATCTGATTAAGAAAATCAATTAACTGGGCATAATCGGCCCTGTGGAGAAATTACTTCATTTCATTGGAAGAGGAAGAGAAAATGTGAATAAATCCATTTTTTTCTTATTGCTTTACCCTTCCACGTAACTATGAGAGAGAGAGAGAGAGAAAAAAAAGGAGAGAGAAAAAGGTGATAGAGGAAAAATAAATAGAAAGATGTCGGAAAGATGCACAGAGATGTCCTCACCTGGTGAAATCTCAGCAACCAGTTTTAAAATGCAAACCTCCTTGTAAAATTCCAATCTTTCACGTATAGCTCTGGGGTAGATTTTTACTCTTCGGAGTTACCACTGAGTTTTAGGATCCTAGTCTTCCATACTAGGTTCTAATTAGGAATTGACCTCTCCAGATTATTCTTAGTTTATAGATCTGGAAAATAGATTAAAACCTTTTTTCAGTTTTAATTTTTATACTAATGGTGGCTGAAAAGATAAGTAGCAACAACACTTACCAAAACAAACACAAATTACAGCATTTCCCGAAATTTCCAAACTTTGTCCTAGTAATTATCTCAGATACTCAGAGACTCTTGTTGATATCTTTGGCTCCAAAGCATTAATTTAAGGAACTTTGCTTTCTTTCAGTCTCTGAACCTTCTCTAGACGATAAAGAGTACTTTGTTACTTCAAATCCAGTTGATTCAGCAGAAATCCAGTTGATTCATCAGAATGGCCAAACCCATTCTGTGAGAATAGGTGTGCATCCACAGAACCCTTATGTAAACCTGATTTGATAAGGATTATCTGCATTTCTGGCAATTACAAAACTCTAACTTTTAGCTCTTAAGTGCCTCTACTCTACAGCCTCAAGGTCATAGTAGGTCATTTGTCACCATGAAAGCTCTGACCCAGCTAAAACACAAACTACAAACTAGATACTGCTTGGACTTCAATCCCAGCATCACCAGATGCTGCATGAGTGAATTATTTAATCTCCCTGTGCCTTAATGTATCACCATAAAATAGGAATAATAATATTTCCTACCTCATAAGGATGCTGTGAGAATTCAGTAAGTTAATACCTTTAAAAGGCCCACAACCATGCCTTTCACACTGTAAGCACTGTGTAATTATTATCATTGCCAAGATTTACCTTGGAACAAAGTTTTGCCTGGCCTACACTGATGTTATGGGTTGAATTGTGTGTTCTCCTAAAATTTATAGGAAGTTCTAACCTTCGGTACCTCAGAACATTATTGTATTTGGAGATAGGGTCTTTAAAGAATTAATTAAGTTAAAATGAGGTCATTACGGTGGGCTCTAATCCAAAATGCCTGGTGTTTTTATAAGAGGAGATCAGGGAAAAGACACAGAAGGAAACCCATGTGAAAACACAGAGAGAAGACGTCTGCACGCCAGGGAGAGGCCTCAGAAGAAACCAACCCAGCTGACACCTTGATGTCGAACTTCCAGGGTCCAAAATTGTGAGAAAATAAATTTCTGTTGTTTAAGGCAGGGGTCCCCACTTCCGGGCCGTGGACCTGAACCAGTCCCCATGACCTGTTAGGAACTGGCTGCACAGCAAGAGGTGAGCGGCAGGGGAGCAAGCATTACCACCTGAGCTCTGTCTCCTGTCAGATCAGCAGGGGCATTAAATTCTCACTGTGAACTGTGCATGCGAGGGATCTAAGTTGTGTGCTCCTTGTGGGAATCTAATACCTGATGATCTGAGGTGGAGCACTTTCATTCCAAAACCACCTGCCAGCCCCCACCTTGGCCATGAAAATATTATCTTCCACAAAACCAGTCCTTGGTGCTAAAAAAGTTGGAGACCACTGGTTTAAGCTACTCAGTTTTAATACTTTGTTATTGCTGCTCCAGCAAACTAATATAATTCGATTCAAGTTTTTATCTGGGGCTGACTCTCTTGAAAAGTCGGGAGATGTGATGACAGGAGACTCTCCTTAGCTACATGGAAAGAGTAGATGGCAGTTAAATAATACTGTCCCCTTTAAAGAAGGAATAGATTATCCAGTGGATGACAAGCCCACCATCTTCCATTTTCTCACATCCAACCGACCTCACACATTTATGTAATTCTCGTGGCACCATTGGTATTTACAGCACCTGATCTAAAGATCTAGCTCATTTTTAGCTATTATATAAACTAGTTCTTATTCTTCCAAATTTAGCTGGACCATCTCTGGTGTAGAAAAAGACAGCCTCCTTCCCTGACACCCATGGAAAACCTTCATAGTGATGGCAGCATATGACTGGGGGGAGGAGAGGTTGTTCACAAGTAATTACCTCTGTAATTCTACTTCTTTCTCTCCTTGGAACCGTATGAAAATGCAGAAGGGTGAGAAGTATAATTACAGGGAACACTTTAAATATCAGTAGTAGAATACACATTTTACAATTCAATTCACATTGTGTGTTTGTATATGCATATATGTGTGTGTTGTGACTTTATATTTAAGAATTGCTTTCAACAGGATAGAAAATATTTTCCATTTTTAAACAAATTTGGATACCATGAAGCCATAGCCTTCATTTTCCTGATTTTAACTGAAAACTAGCTCATCTACTTTTTAATGTGTAGCACATTGCCACCTCATTCCTAAAAGCTCTATCCTGTCTAAGATGCCAGTCGAAGGCTCTATCTGATGTGGCCAGCCAGTGAGGCTCTGCAGTAATTCCATGCTGGGCAGCCTGTAATGAGGACAATTCCTGTTTGGAGGCATTTCTTTTCATGGGTTGCAGCTACAACTAGAAGTACGATTTATGTCTGCTGCTGGCTGGTCAAAGAAATACTGTCAGTTTTTTATTAACAAGCTGTAAGCACTTGCAAGTGAAAGGGAGGGAGGGAGAAAAAGGAGTGTGCCCAAAGTTATTTCAATAGGCAAGCTCTAAAGTATTCTAAGGTTAATACTGACTAATTAATGACAGCACCAAATGGAGCCAAAAGCGTGAAGTCTGCAAATGCCTAGTAATGAGGGCAGCATAGATATACCCCACTCCCACTTTCCATGTATGTTTGTAGGTCTGGCTGCAAAATGTAATTGAGGTAAATAGGGTTTTCAACTTATTGCTTATTCTTTAATACTGAGAAAGCATTTGGCTATTCTCTTTTCTTACTTCAAAGAACCCCACTCAATTAACTCTAGTAAATCTTATACCTGGTAGCGTCACCACTAGAGTCCATGACATAGAAATCTTTGAAGGGCATTTATAGAAGGAGGGGGAGACAGAACCACACCATACATTCAGAACACATTCATCTCTTTGCAGTTAGAACTGATGAGCCCTAACTGTTGGGGTGGGCTGGAAGAAGGGGGCTTGCTGTTTTCAACTCCTTATGCTTATGAAAACCAAGGCTCTCCATTCTTAAAAAAAAAAACAAAAAAAAAAAAAACTCTCAAATCCAAATCATTTTTTAAAGCACCCTGACCCTTTAATAAAAAGAGCCAGTAAGATAGCATCTGAAAAAAAGAAAGACAGATTTTAGGAACAAAGGATTTTTTTCCTCGTGCTTTGTTTTCCCAGTCTTGAATTAATCACAGCTGTCTTTCCCCAGCAAAGGTTATTTTTATCTAGCATGCTTTAAATTAAAAAACAACAAAAACAAAGGGAGCAATCTGATGTTCTTCAAGCTCCCAGAGCCCTTGCACAGAAAAAGAAGCATTTGCTCTGTGCAGCTAAGAATCCAGCTTTTAATTCTATCTTTTCTTGTGTTTACATAAACTTTCGTTTGCATTTCAGAAGCCTTATGGAAAGATTCCTGTGGCTGACCCAGGAGTAGTGGTGAATTTCTCCATCAAGTGAGTATTGATGAGCTGCAAAGTTCAGTGAACAGGAAAATTCTGCTCCTTTTATTGCCAATGTGACAGGTTACTTTATTACCATGCCTTTCACAGCAATTTAACAGTTACCCTGGTAACGGATTCAGTGAGGTAATGGGATCACAGGCATTGGAGCGGAGGCAGGCTGGCCGCTCGGCGCAGCCATCTGCTGGCTGCTGTTCCGGAGGCTGTCTGCCTGGAGGAGCCCTGACAGTCACGGGGCCTGCATGGCAATGAGCAGGTGAAACCGCAGGCCTGCCCTATTTAGCTGTACTCTGGTGATTTGTCTTTCTAATTCTATTGAAATAATCATCAGGATTTGTTTCTGATTAATTAACTAACCTTTTGGTAAAAAGATTAGATAACGAAATTGCTGCCTATTCAGAGATAATGAGATTTTTATTACTCTGTCAAAGGAAAAAAAGTACATTTATGTGTCACCAGCCGCTGTGTCAAGAGGAAAAAAAAAAAGAGAGATTTCAGTCTTTGTCGAATGTGTATATTCCTCAACAGACGAAGGGTGTGCTTAATTCTGTAGGAACTCCCCAGCCTCGTTTGACGCCTTTAGGAAGAGTTTTTAAAACAGCAAACAAAGTAATAAACACATTTAGGCCAATAGGCTTTTGGGGAGGGTGCTAATTTGTTTTAAAATGTCTCCTAATGGGAGAGAAACGCTTGGGAGTCTGGGGAACTTGCCTGTACTGTGTGGGTGTATTTATGTAAGTGTGAGAGTGTGAAGAAAGCAGTAAAATCTCCGTGCGAGGCTTTAAAATGACATATGTAGACAGGCTGCTTTTCCTCCGCACTACAGATATGTCTTCGACTTGCAGTACATTTGTCTTCTGGCAGGAGCTGCACTCGGGCAATGGGAAGGGGAAATCATCCGAGCTTAGCAGGCTGGGAGGTCACCTGTGACTGTCACAGGTAGGCTGCCTTAGGAAATGAATTATTCTGACTGGCGGTGAGTAAAAAGGGAAGCAGCCCTTCTCCTGTTTCACTCCAAGACACGCAGCCAGTCAATTTAACCTTTTCTCTTAAGAAGTCACAGCTCAATCCTTTGTTAAGGGGGACTTTCATTTTCTCACTCCTCTGTGCCTTCTTCAATGCTGTGATGCCAAGAAAAAAAAAAAAATACCAACCCCGGGAAAAGCGCTTCCCTTGGATAAAGAGATGCCAAATGCGCCAAATAGGCTGTGTGAGCCAGGCAGCATTGGAGGGAACAAAGCGCAGTATATTTCCAAATAAAACTTCAAAGAGCTACAATATTGTTTTAATTACTAAAACCTGAGGAGGAAACACAGTGCATGTCTCTTCCTTCAATGCAATGAAACGGAGGAGTGGGAGAAAGGGCCAAGTGGCAGGCTGGGACCCAGCTGAGCATTTTGTGAAAGTGTATTTGTGTCACTGTCTTTTCAGAGTCAATGAGACACTTATGTTTCTTGTGATATCCTGTGGCCTTGGCTGCCTCCGTTTGTGTGTGTATGAAAATGAAAAGATTTCAAGTTCTAAAAATGGAAGTTTCTATTCTGAATTTCGTATGGTTCACAGACAAGTTGCAACAGACCAAAGGAAAAAAAAAAAAGAAAGAATGTGCAGGGGATCAAATGTGAACATTCCAGAGCCCACTTTCCTGTCCTGCCTGGCGTTCCCACTCTCCTTCCCCTCTTTATTCCAGTTCCTCCTGCACCTCCAATTGCCAGCTAACAGGCTCCATTCCTGATAACAGATGCTTGACAAAGAAAGAGAAATAAGACATTAAAAAAGAGTAGACTGCTGCTGGGGGTGGGGATTTGATAGCACATTGCCAATGGCTTTTTACAGGAACTTGCTCTCCCTGGCTCACTACCAAGACAGGGAAAGAACAGGGCGGGGGAGGGAGCCTTTGTCCTCAAACTCCCAGTGAAATATAGGGTTAATATTAGCAATTATTATTAAAATTAGCCAAATGTTATTAAATGATCTTTGTATAGAAGAATAAGTATAGTTTTCCCTTTGGCAGACAATGACATCTGCAGCTCTACATTTTCATGAAATGACTATACTTAACAAAAACATTACTTCATTTTCATGGTATTTCTTTTGTGCCTAGGAGCAACCCTGTAATTGTTCACTTCAATTACAACATTACTATTTTAAACCGAAACCCATTTTATCTGCATGCCAGCTTTTTATTTGTTTTACCAACTATATCTATTTCCATTACTGCAAGGCTGATGGTTTGTCTCAAGAGGAAATCAAATCCATTAATTCAGAAATTTCAAGCCCGACTAGCTCTGCCATAAGCAGCATTTCTTATGCTAATAGCAAATGTGCTGAGACTGAAAGGAACTGACATGGCCCTGTTTTTTATCATAACTTAAGCATTTATGTAAGAAGGCAAATCTAATAGTAGTAGGAAACTGTAAGTGTTATTATATATAATTCACTTTCCTGAGATCTGGACAGGGCTCTGGTTTGTGTAGCCATGGTTTAAATCAGGCTGCCACAAGACTTTAACTCACCTGACTTTCCCTATTCAGCCAACATATTGCTTCACAACAGATACATCTAGCATGAAACTAGATTTGTGTGTTTGTGTGGATTTGTTTGTTTTATTCTCTACTGTTTTTTCCCCCTGCAAGACGGACTTTTGTCAATGCAGGGGGAAAAAAAATCATTTTGTATTCAGGGGATGTCTGAAACTTACGCGTGTAACAGCACTAGCCTGAGACAAACCTGGCTCCTTCTGTTTCATTTTTAATACACTCTGTTTGGGTCCTATCACATGGTTTGTGTTCAATTAGATAGCTTGACTCGATAAAATCTGACTCTGACCCAGAAAAAAAGGAGAGAGAGAGACTGCTCCTGACTCCTGCTTAAGCTTTTGCAGGCACTGTGACCTGTTTATGTCAATGGTAAAGTTTAAGAGATTCCTATCACAGAACCACATCATCTTCTGGGATCTTAAAAATACAGAAAGCACTCGAGGACCCTGGCCCTCCTTTGTCACTGCAAAGCCCTTCAGTGCTGTAAATCAGTCCTCATTGGGAGCTCTTATACACCAGCCGTCACCGATAAGCTTTGGAGAAGTAGACAAGGCTTTTAGGAATTGCTGAACCATGAAGTTGACCTGCTTAGGGTTTTGTTGTAGGCTATTAAATCCGGGATGGCCGTTTTAAGATGATTCCGCTTTCTTTTTCCCTTGGCCTGGTTAAGCAACTCTACCCCCACCTCATTATTTGACTGATTAAAAAAAAAAATCAGAATGGAGCAACCTGCTGTTTAAGAATACTACCTTCACACATCAATTTAATGAGAGTGACTTATGCTGACGTAGTTTACGGGCTCAAGCAACTTGACGCTAATTTTGCAGCTAAGAAAAGATTTACTAACTGTACATACTGCTCTGCTTTTGTTGGCAAGGGTACCACGATTCTTTTCTCCAAAAACAAACTCTAAATCTTTTGTAAACATGCATTATTTGGTTAACACATTGTAAATGGATCCCAGTTGTGCAGCACAAGCACTGTTCACTATTATGTAAACAATTATTCACTGAAAGCCTTGCTTTAAATTGTAAATGAATATATTTCAGCTGTAACATTGCTTTCAGACCTGCCCAGTGGTATAAATCTGGTCATTTGTTTTTTGCACTCTGCCTATTACTAACCGGTTAGAAATGTGCTGATTATTTGCACAAGCCTTTCACACTGCGGGCACAGTTAAATTGCTGTTTTATTTTTCCTGTGTTTGATGAGTGTTAACAGGAGCGCCATTTGAGGAAACCCAAACCAAATACAGCTCTTTAATTGGGGTTGGAGTGTTTGGGAAAAGCCACCCGGTGAGTAATTCCACTGTTTAATGTTTGAAAGTTCATCCACCTCACTATAGGACTTATGACAAGATTAATTAAAGGGAGTTAACAAAAATGCAGGGCTTTGCTCAGCCAACCAGAATAGCTTGAAATACGGCGCACTCACTTGCAGGGATGTAGATTATTTGGTGCAAGGTCTAATTCCCAACTCTCTCCTTTAAACTCCTGTCATTGCCAAATAGCTCCATTTTAAATTCAGTATCTCTTCAAGAAAGCACAATCTGGAGAAAAAAATATGACAGAGGTATCTCATTGGGCCCCTGTGACTTCCTTTGCTCACAGGGTACGCCCAGTGGCTGATGAAAGTTTCAGCTGACTCAGAAAGCCTTGTCTTTTTATTTCCCCCTAAACAGTCAATGATTCATTTTTAATGTTTCCCCACCTCTTGTGGTTTAATTGGGTTTCAGTAGTGTGCTGATCTGCAGAGCTTGGAAGACAGAAATAATGACCTTGGATG
Source organism: Homo sapiens (assembly GCF_000001405.40). NCBI lineage: Eukaryota > Metazoa > Chordata > Mammalia > Primates > Hominidae > Homo > Homo sapiens. The sequence continues at coordinate 129,314 of NT_187549.1, read as the reverse complement.
ATCTCATTGGTGTGCACCAGAACAAGTGTAGTTTTATTGAGCTCTGTTGCTAGAACTGCAAAACTGTATGTTCATTAACTTAGACAGTGCTGACCTTAGATCAAGCCTAGGATAATGGGAAAAGCCCCAGATTCCAGCCCTGGATTTGCTCCTGACTTTGCACACTCATTTTACCTCTGTGAGTCTTGCCTGTGGCATAGCCGGGTTGGATGGCACCATCCTTATTGTTCCTTCTGAAACTGAAATTCTCAGATACCTGCAGTGCATAATTCTACCTGCTCTTTCACATCTATAAATAAATAAAAGAGGAAGACTCAGTGATCAAAAGATATGGTGTTTAATAGCTAAAAGGACGAGGCTTTTTATTTCCACATTGAACATTAGAAAGGGGATCTGCAGTTTTTTTTGTTACTGAAAATTCTGTAGAATTCAGGTAGAATAGGTATGCTTCCTTCTGTGGCTATTCTTTGCAACTTAAATGACTATACTATCCTTAAGTAAACCACACAAGAAATACTTTGTAGATCTACAATGGTTTGTAATTATATTATTTATAATTTGTTTAATATACTTTCCCTTATAGTGAACAGGACTCATGCTACCTTTTTCTTCCTAATAATCTACTTATTCAGATAGTCTATTTTGCATATTACATTCAATTTAGGTTGAAAGAATGAAAGTAATGTGCACATCAATAAATGGCTGTGAAAATTAAGATAGAAGACTTTTTTGTCTTCTCTGAAACTTTCTCTTTTCTAGATACTGATGCAAGTTATCACTAATGACAAATTGGAATCATAAGCCTTGAGTACAAAAAGTCCATTTAAGGACAATTATGAGCTTTGTCATAATGGAAAATACAGGCATTGATTTCTTTTCCTCTGCTAAACACAGTTTTCTAAAGAAGAAACAGTCAGTCTCCTGTAGCATTTCTCTTACCTATATATATGTGTTCGATAGGCAGTTCCACAGAACAAATGGAAATATTTTTTAATTACATATGTTTTAGTTAGAAACACACTTGGAATTTTTTTAAATTGTAGTTTGTAATAGTCCTGAGTCCTGGTAGTTGGTTTATTTTAAAATGTAGATGTTACACCAAATTGAAATATTAGCAGTGCTTTATTTTACCTGCTTCCCTATCTGCCCTGCCTTTCATCCAGTGCTTCCAAGAGAAATACACATTTCACACTGCTCACAGTTCTAACATTTTCTTTGCCTATTTCTGACTTCTGACCTTGTCCAGACAGATAACCATGCTATGATGACTTTACCTTTCCACTCTCTACTTTATAACACCATGTCTAGGAATGCCCCAGTTAAAAGAAGGAGCCACTGATTCAGGCCAAATGTGTGGAATATTGATAAAGTCCATTCAGAATTGAAAAGTGTGCAGGGTTGCTCACAATGACCTTCTTAGAAACACATTAAGGATGTACAAGTGTTTCTGGTCTTTATTATGGTCTTGGCTATTTATATTATACAAGGACAGACTTCGTCTGACTGGTTTTTGCTATCAAACTTTCACGTTTATTTCAATAAATGGTCACTTAAATACCTGAAAGAGTTCAAGTAAGTTTTTACATCAGTATGTGGAACGAGTGCAAAGCATTCAAATAGTCTACTATGCCCAAGTCGAGACTTTTCTGCTGTTGTCAATGAGTCCATATAATCTAGCTGAAAAATATTCTGAGCATTTTCCTGAGCAGACAGAATTCCTGTCCTGGACTTATATCTTAGAGAATGTGCAGGTAATCTAAAGAATCTTTAAAATAAAGGCCAAGCAGCCTTGGTTGATATGTTCCTCTTCAGTTACTTAAATTCTAAGTTCTTTGGCAGTAAGGAATTTATCTTATTCATCTTTCCAATCTGACTACCTAGCGCAATGCCTCACATTTAGCAAATGTCCAATAAATGTTTGTTGACCTAAATAATTATGGCATCCTGAATATTCATTCTTTACTCCATGGTAGTAGAGAGATGAGTCATGTAATCAATGTGTACAACTTACATGTATAGGAAAATAGTCATTCCTACTTACAGAATGTCCAGTTTGTGAATTCACCTAAGGCTAGACACAGGTTCAGAGGCAGAAATGTCATTCATATTGCAAAAATGAAGATTTCCCTAAAATATGATTAAAATAATACACCTATTAGAATTAAATCAATATACCAGCAGTAGAAGGGAAGATTACAAGGCACAAATAAAGAAACAAATCTTTGTATTTAGGTGAGTCCTCATCTTAAAAATGTCTTCTATTATTATGTATTTAGAACGTGGTTTTTTTTTTTGCATAAATGTTTGCAAGAACCTGTAGCTGCACCTTCTTCTGCTTTTAGACCTGTTGGAGTGAGACTCAAATTTGACAATCACTTATTTAAGTACTTTAGTAACAGAAAGAAATAATTTAATAGTTGATATGGTTTGGTTGTGTCCCACCCAAATCTCATCTTGAATTGGAGTTCCCATAATCCTCATCTGTCATGAGATGGACCAGGTGGAGATAATTGAATCATGGGAGCACTTTACCCCATGGTGTTCTCGTGATACTGTGTGAGTTCTCAGGAGACCTGATGGTTTTATAAGCATCTGGCATTCCCCTGCTTATACTTCTCCTTCCTGCCATCATGTGAAGAAGGATGTGTTTGCTTCCCATTCTACCATGATTGTAAGTTTCCTGAGGCCTCCCCAGCCATGCTGAACTTTTAGTCAATTAAATCTCTTTCCTTTATAAATTACCCAGTATCTGGCAGTCCTTTATAGCAGCAGGAGAACGGACTAATACAATAGTCATTGTCATATAACATATTATTTCACTCTTCTTAAGTAAGCATATATTATTTTTATAAAAATAATAAAGCTATTTTGAAAAAGAAAGTTGAGTATGCCATTCTTTCAAATGCAGTATGATACAAAATACAGTCAAAAGGAATCAGGAAAGTCTGCAGATGGATGTTACAACCACACTAAGTCTTGAAGGATAAGGGAATTTAGCCTGGAGAAAGGAAGCAATGTTCATTTCAGGCAGAGGGAAAAGCATATGTTGATATACAGCTTTGGGTTTAAATCACATCCTGTTAAAAAGGCCTTCCTTGACTATAATACAAATGTTATTTATATTTTATAGAAACAATTAATAATTTAGGAAAATTCTCTACCTCTTTCCTCAAAAAAGTATTTGTTTTTTACAAATGGAAATTTGATATTTATAATAAAACAACTAATAAATGACTCAATTTGACCTCATTCATTTTAAATTCTTCAAAATATACATCTTGTTTATTTGTTCATCTATCCAACAAAATTTTATTGAATCTACATAAACTTTTCCTAAGAACTATGGTAGCTACTGTGAATATAAGGGTGAAAAAACAAATGTAACCTCATGCTGTCATGGAGCTTATAAATCTTTGAGGCCATCTCTCCTCAATCATCATGAACGTGGTGAATGTGTCTAGAAGAAAATTTCCAAGTGAAACTCATATATTAGTGTTTGGGTTTTTATTTCTGCATAACAAATCATCACAAAACATAGTGTCTTAAAATAATAATTACTTATTATCTCACAGTTTCTGTGGGTCAGGAATTTCAGAGCAGCTTAGCTGGGCTATTTTGGCTGGGGGTCTCATGAAGTTTTGGTCAAATTTTGGCTGAGTGTAATCTTTTTGAAGGTTAGGCCACACTAGAGGATCTGCTTCCAAGGACACGCAGACACAAGGCTGTTTGTGGGAGGCCTCAGCTCCTTGCTGGTGCACTTCTCCACACAGCTGCGTAAGTGGCCTCATGGCATGGCACTGGTTTTCCCCAGAGCAAATGATCCAACAGGCCAAGTTGGAAGCTGTGGCTCCTTTTATGACCTAGCCTCAGAAAAAAACACAGGAACTCACCCATAGTATTCTACTTGATAAGCTTTGATTCAATGGTGAAGACCAAGCTAGGGCATAAATATCAGATGGTGAAAATCACTGGGGACAGCCTTGGAGCTGACTGCCACGAAGACCAAGCCTTTGTTCAGAAAATCTCTACATCCGGGAATCCAGTTTGTGACATAATCATCAGTTCAAAATGCTCACTTAGTTTCATAATAACCTGAAGTTGACAGCTTTTTTGCTTTGAAGAATGAATCTATAAGTTTATGAAGGAAATTTTCAGTAAGTCTAAGGTTTTTGGGTTTTTTGTTTGTTTTCAACTAAATAATCTTCTCTAGTACTTTGAGACCATTATTTTCAATCAGAGAGTAAGCTTACACTCTGCTCTGAGTGAAGCATAAGGGCCCCAGTAGGTGCTGAAGTGGAAATATATTCTTCCCAAACAGTGAAAATTCTTACTCGCCAAGGAATCATTTCATCTTTTTCATCTGAGAAAGATATCAATTTTTCAAAATTTCTGTTGCCAAAAAGTTAAAAGTACCGATTTAATTCAGAATCTTACCAAATGAAAGAATTCTTTACACAGCATCCCTTACAGATGGTCAATGGGTAGTTGGACTACTTTTCATGACAGGAGGCTCTTTTCTTCGTGGGAAACAGTAAATTCATATTCAGTATAGAGCCAAAATCATCAGTTCGCTGAAACCTCAACTCAAGGATTTTAATGGTGCCTTCTGGAGCCGTGTAAAACAGGTTGGCTCTCTTTTCTGCATGATAGCCCTTTTCAAAGCTGAAGATAAGCTGTCATTTCTTGCCTTTATAAACAAGTAATAAATTTACCATAAATTGAGATTCTAACTATCTATAAGCCATTATTATTTAAATCCCCTGAGGCTACATTCTATTTATCTGGTTGTAAGTCTTCACTTTTTTTTTTTGCAGATATTGTTTAATTCAAAATTTATGTTATTTTTTCTTAGTCCAAGTGTGAATTTTACTAAATGCAAAAGCGAATACTTGTTAGATGTCTTAGAGGTTGTGAATTTGATTTAGCAGCCCTCTAGAAATATGAAGCTTAACTGAAGCAAATTCCTTTTCTTCTACCTTTACATCTATTTCCCCACAGAAGGGCTTAAATATCAGATTGCAAATCCTAACTGCTACTTTCTTCTATCTGGTTGACAGGTAATCTTTGGGTTTACTTGGAGTCAGAGATGAGATTACTTAATCCCAAGAGTCCTACTTTCCCTTTTGCCTAAGGCCTTCTTGGTGTTAATCAGGTGCAAGGAGAGATGCAGAATTAACACTTTCAGGAGCAACATTTACCTTCCTCTCATTAGCTGCACTGCAGCAATAATGATGCAATAACACCCTTTATTGTTAAGGTTGCCATACTTTAAAGAAGTCTCTAGTGCACCAGAGACAGTTCATAGATATTGTTCTCAGCCATAGAGTTACCAGAGAAGAGCTCGAGTTTTGTAGACAATTTGCTCAATATTGTTATTCTTGAGGACTAACTACTTTTGAAAAATTGTCTTGCTGTTGGTGGCTGATTTGTTGCCTTTTCTTCAGCCTTCCTAAATGGTGAAATGCCTATCTTATGATAGAAATATTTCCATCTGGCTCTGTGCTCCTTTGAGCTGATGCCACATGGAAAGATTCTTCTCTTTCTCTTTATACATCAACAATTAAGATGGTTATTTCAGACTTTCTGGAGAGTCTTATCAATGCCAATAGCTATCATTGCACACAACGGTATTCTTTAAAGTGCCCTGTTGTATAGCAGTCTCAAAAATTATGTTGAAAAAGTAGTATCCCTATTCATATAATACAAGTAGTTTTTTGTAACTAGTAAAACCAGTGATCTGTGCAGGGTAAGAACAAGGTAAACATGACTTATCTCTGCATATTTATGCCCTGTTTACTTTCTTCCGAAAGTATTCAGGATGAGACGAAACTGAAAGAACTATACTCTTCAAATAAGAGAAGAAATGGCCTTACCAAAGACAGAGTCCGGTGAAATCAACTCTCACTTCAGATGCTAATATTCTGGGTTTAAAATGTAAACAATTTAAAACTCATGTTAAAACAGGCTGTTCATTAAGTTTATAGAGCCATGTTATGTGGGTAGGTGGAAAGTTAGACTGTAAAAATTTAAGACTTTGAAGATTAGGCATAGTAGGGAAATTGAAATTAAAATCTGATCCTCACTGTGACTTTTATTGCATATTTCTAATTTAAAAGTCATTAATAAAGATGGAGTATATTTCATCATTGTAAGAACTTATTGAATAGCATAAATAATTCATTTCTAGGAAAACAGAGAAATTTCTCATGATGTCTTTTGTTGGCAACTAAACTTTGAGCTCTTTGTAGGCTATATCTATGTTGGGAGAAACAGACAGACTTTAAAGAGAGTAAAATGGTCTGACTGACTTTTTTGCAGGTTATATCTGAAGAAAGATGTTGTAAGGAAATCATAGGAATGAAATAATGTCACGTGATTTCTCCTTTTATAAAAATTAAGCTCAAAAATTAGTTCTAAAGATAATATTACCTTATGTAAATGGTAGATTACATTATTGCCTCAAGACATTATTATCTTGATGAATCTATATACAGGGTTATCAAAGAGAAAAAAGACAATGCTAAATACTCCAAATGCTCTAAATAATGTTTGGATGGTCAGGGAACATAATGGTACCTTACAGCTGCATAAAAAATGCTTATCAGACAATTATAATGTACTTAACATGCTTAAAGCACTACATAATACTCAAAATGGTCTCTTTTCTATATTACCCAACTTTTAGTGGAACATTAGGAAGTTACTAAAATTATGTATTATCTCTCTTTTATAGATGACTAAACTAAAACAGAAACGTAATGACAGTAATAGATTTAGATTATAGGTCAATGAATGACTCATTTTGTGTACCTACCATTTTCCTCTCTGTATCCTCCAGGATTCTATAGCGCACTATTATGAATAAGAGTAAAGTTCTCTGGCTAAAATCTCTGTGGTTATATTGCCACATATTGCATATGGGGTAATAAATCATTGTATGGCTGGCACATGAATTGTAGGAATTTATCAACCTAACCAGGGCAGTTTTGAGAGTGAACGGGGACGCTACTAATGATTATGTCAGGACCTTATGTAGTGACTGTAAATATAAGGAGACATGGGAAAACTGTTGAGAAAAAAACAATTGTGTATATTTCTTTTTGTTTTGTTTTCCCAGAAGAGTGAGATTCCTTTTCTTATGCATATGTGAATTTTGCTTGTGTTTTGTTTTTGCCAGAGTAAGAGGTGTTTGAGGAACATAATTTCATTCTTAACCAAGACAAAGCACTTTTTTCCTCTTTACTTCTCAATTTCTCTGAAAGCATTATTCTGGTTAATCAGCCACATTCAATTAAATAGTATGAAAGATAATCATAGAGAAAATGTTCCATCTTCAGAGATTTTCCAGGATATAAATTTATGTATGTGTATTTGTACACATGTTTTTTGGTCTTTTTTTTTTTTTTTTTTTTTTTGGACATGACTTCTCACTCTGTCACTCAGGCTGGAGTGCAGTAGCATGATCATAGTTCACTGCAGCCTTGAACTCCGGGACTCAAGTGATCCTCCCATCTCAGCCTCCCAAGCAGCTAAGACTACAGGTGTGTACCACCGCACCTGGCAAATTTACTTTTTGTACAGATGGGGTCTTGCTTTTGGCCCATGCTGGTCTCAAACTCCTGGCCTCAAGAAATCCTCCTGCCTCAGCCTCCCAAAGTACTGGGATTATAGGCATGAGCTACCACACCTGGCTTTTTTTTTTTTCTTAAGCAAATTGATTGGGATAATGAAAATGACTACTGTTGAGCACTTTTTAAAGCATTCAAATGTTGCATAAATATGTTTAAATCTTCATTAAAACTTAATTTTGGAATGCTAAGAGTTACAATCTGAAACCAACAAATTCAGTGCTTACATTACCAGATTTTAATTTTTATTTCTCAATAACCTAAATAAGGAATTTTAATGCATTTATATTATTTCTAAAATGCATTCTTATTTCTACTAGCTTCCCTTATTTTTCTCTTATTCCGTTTTCTGTTTCTTATCATTTTGCTTCTTTAGCTTTTCCTTTCCTAATTATTGTTTGGTCACATTTTATTTCATTCTTGTTTTTTTGAAATACATAATTCTAACTATATTTTTTCTAGCTAGTACCATATATTATAAATTTTAAAAGTTCTGGATAAATTTTCCTAACAACATCAAAATCAATCAGTAACTTTATTAATCAGCTTTGCTTCATGACAAATAACCTCCAGGCCTCAGTGGGTTACCACAAAAAGCCCATTTCTCTCTTAGGTTTTATGTCAATTTTAACGGGTTGACTGTGGCTCTATGACATATATATATTTTTTTCATTCCAGAATCTAGGCTGCAGGAGCAGATCTGAAAAGGACATGCCATTCTTTTGCAACAGAAAAATACCAGACTAAGGCACTCGAGATTCTCAAAACTTCTGATTGAATGTGGTATATTTCATGTTTACTCACTGCCCATTAGCCAAAGCAAGTCACATGGCCAAGCCTAATATCAAAGGGGTTGGGACATAAGCTCCCCCTATAAGATGGTGCTTTATGTCACATGGCAACAGAGAGGGTAGAGAATAACTGAAAATGATGGCACTATGTACTACAGTAACTCTATCCTGTTGCTCTGACAAGATAAGATCAAAACGTACTGAGCTCATCTAAGTGTTAGAGATACTATAAGGAATAAAGCTATCCTTTTTTTATGAAACTTAAACTCAGGTTGTGATTCACCTATTTCACTGCTCTTCTGGCTTTGTATTGAAATTATCTGGAATTTGCACTAAGCTTTTCCAAACATTGACTAACTCATTTGCATGCAGCAGCCTATTCTTATTTTATGAATTGCGTATCCTCTCGAATCTCTGAGGATATGAACATCTATTTTAAATTTTTCTTCTATTTCTGGTATCAACTTCACTTTGTAAGGTGAGAGTTTATCATTTTATATAATAAATTATATATATAGGTATATATATATATATATATATAAAATGAATAATAGGTATATCTTTATGATATGTTGACTTTTCTCATGTTCATGATGATTGATCTATACCAAGGACTAAATAAGGCTTCCCCAGTTCAAGTAAATATCACTGTTCCCCAGGCAAGGTATGTGGGTTCTGTTCACAGGCCATCTGATTGTAGCAAATAATCAGTAGCAAATAAGCAGGAAAGGGCCTGGTGGATGGGAGCATATTTTCAGTTGATTTTCTCTTAAGGGACTTGGGATATTTTCTTTGGCATACAGGTGATTCTCATATATTACAAAAGGTATTTAGACCCCTCCTCTGTTTCTCTTCCTAAGCTCGAAGCCCATTCTGTAAGTTCCCCATGGACAAGTTGTCACGTTATTTAAATAACTTATCTCCAAGCTTTATCCTGAAGTCAAACATCAGAGTCAGTCACATTAAGAGTGGGCTCTGATAAAGAGACTTACAAACCTTTAAATAAATATCCAAAGATGGCCTCAGAGCCCACTTCTGCTGCCTCTGATCTTAAGGGGACTCCTGATATAGCCCAGACCAAGGAGAGATTCATGAGGCGAGTGAGGTTCTTGCCTCAGGCACAAAACTTAAGCTAAAACACACAGTAATCAACATAAATAATATTCTGGTGCAATTCTTTAAAAGATCCAAAAGTAATGCAAAATTCCATAATAGACAAAATATCAAAACCTTATATAAAGACAAAAATCACTGATGGTACTGTGCCAAGCCACAGCAGAGCATGAGGCAAAACAAAAAATCAGTAGTACAGATTTTTTGGTCTTACTTTTGATTTTTCAAAATATTTTCAAGTTTTTGGGGGACACCCTCTCAAATTTTATATTCAGTTCACTTCATTCAGCTCACCCCAGTCCTGGCTCTGGCTCAATGTCCTCCTGAGAAAACCTACCATTTTAGCAGTACTACATTATATTTGTACCATACGAGTGGTTCTTTAGCTTTGTTGGGACAAGGGAAAAATCTCATCTGTCAGCTTTAGAGCTTTTACAGCTTTCTCAGTGTAGTTGTCCACTGATGAAATATTTCATTTTTTTCTGCACCGATTATAGACTTCTTATTATTTTTCATGTTTTTGTTTCAGTAGGATTTTGAGAGAGAGAAAAGGTTAACTTATGTGTATACATGTGCTTAGTCAGCTATCTTGAAACAGAAGCCAGCAATAGACATAAAAGCAAGACAAAATAATGGTAAGATGAATTATTAAAATTTAAGGCATTTGGGGGTACATAAAAGAGATGGCATACGTAAAAATATTCAGCATTATTTTTAAGTGGCTACCATTCTATTTTCAAAAATAATGGAACAATTTGAGGTAGGTGTATTTTAGAGTTTAGAAATAAAAGGTTTGAGTAGAAAGGAAACAGATAAATTCAATCATCTAAATCCAGCCATAAAGAAATACACTAGAGACATAGGGAGACAAACTACTCTGCTTCCATTTCCTCCAAAGACTCCAAAGTATTGTATAATAGATAGCTTCACTAGAAAAGGAACACATAGCTAAGCAAATAGAGAACCTTTCAGAGGATTACATTTAAAAACTTACTAAATTCGGGTTAAAAATATAGTTAAAGACATCCCATGCTATTGTATGACGGAGACTAGCCATTGCTGACCTGTTTAGCTCTAGTGAAACCTTCCCCCTTGTGCCCTTGGCAGTTCATGTCAGGACATTAAATGACTAAATTACGTCTCAAACACTCAGGTGTTAAAATAAAAATATAATATCTACCCTTTGTTCATTGTTTACTATGTACCAGAAGGTGAGATATTATCTCATCTGCTCTTCATGATACCAGAAAAAGTAGGAATGAAAATTTTCCCTGTTTTTCAAATGAGATGACTGAGGCTGGGGAAGTCAAGTTACTTGATCAAGATTATACATTTTGTATTTGCTGAGCTGGGAGTCAAGCTCAGGCATCTGTGATCTTAAGCCTGTGCTCTCAACCATCATTTTATAGTTGTAGAAGGGGTTTCTTTCATCAATATTGGTAATCAGGCTAATTCCACAATAAACATGGACCAATAAGTAGAGAGCCCTAGTTGTCTCTTCCTCCAATAATTTTCTTTAAAACCTGTTTCTTATGACTGTGCAACTGTTCTTTGTACTTCAGTTTCTCACTTATAAAATGAAACAACGCCTAAGATTTCTACCCATTCTACAATTCTATGATTCTGTGATTATTATCAGCAGCCACTTGCCCTAAGTAAGATATAATTGCATAATCCAGTGACTTTAAAGGGTAAACTAAGAATAAGATGTAAATAGGCAGACTCAAAAGAAACCAAGGTAACACTCATAATTTCAAGAAGCTCGTTTTATTCTCATTCTCTCCCCTTCATCTTAAATCACTTCTTACTTTTTAATTGCCCCAATCTTGCCTTTGTTTTATCCTGTACTGATAGAAGTAATATGATTCCATTTGGCCTTGCTTTTCCTACCCAGCATTTCTCTACCTTTTAAAACCAAGATATCTTTAGCTATCAAAGCACCTCATGTTTCACCTTAGGAGATTCCATACATCTCCCTAGGGGAGCATGTCAACTTCACTCATACAGGAAGAACCTCAGAGACAGCCTATTGAGTTACCCTACCAGCTAAAAAATAAAATAAAAATAAAAAAATGTTTGTTGAACTTGGCACTCTAGAGTTTGTTTTTATTAAAATTACATGTTGTCAGGGAACTTTAAATTAAAATAATGAAGTTCCATCTCAGAACCATCAGACTAAAATTTGTAAAATACTGGAGAGGATATCTAGAAACAAAGACTGTTATGGAGGGGAGTGTAAAGTGATACAACCACTTTAGTGAACAGTTTACCAAATATCAGAAAGTTTAAGATATGCATGAACTAGGACCCAGCAATTTCACGATCAGTCATGTTCATTCAGATAAATTCTAAAAGTGCTCATTGCAGCCTCTCCATCAGTATTGAAAAACTATAAATAAATATTCATCAACAGGAGAGCAGATATATTCATTATGATAGATGCAGAGGGTGGAATTTTATTATTTTAGTCCATTTCATGCTGCCATATCAGAATATCACAGATGGGATAGTGAACAGAAATTTATTTTCACAGTTCTGGAGGCTGGGAAGTCCAAGAACAAACAGTTGCATCTTGTGAGAGCCCTCCTGTTGCATCATCACTGGTGGAAGTCAGAAGGGCAAAAAGAGGGCAAAAGAGAAAGCAGAGGCCGAACTCATCTTTTTACAACAAACACATTTCCTTGACAGCAGCATTAATCTATTTGTGAGGGTAGAGACCTCTTGACCTAAACACCTCTTAAAGACCTCACCTAACACCTCCACAATGGGGATCAAGTTTTCAACACATGAATTTTGGGGGACATATTCAAACCATAGCAGCTATTCATCAATCAATATGAATGAGCCAGAGCTATATGCAACAGCATGAATAAATCTAAAAACATAATAATGAGGGCAATGAAAACAAGTTGCAGAATGGTGCATACTGTATGAAGCCATTTGCATAGTTTAGAAACATGTAAAGCCAGAGAATATTTTGTTTTTAGATATATAATTTAAAAACTTATAAAAAGAGATTGGAGGATAATAAGTAAGACTGAGAAAACTACTACTTCTTGGAAAGAAGTGATTGGATTCAAGCTCAGAGTGTTTCAATTATGTCTGTTTTCCTTAATTCTTAAGTGGGCAATATATACATGGTTATTTGTTATATTATTTTGGTACTTTGTGCATCACATTATTTTATAATAAAAATGGACACATTTCTATTTTCTAAATGTAAAATTATATTATGAGATTCAAAGTGTTTTTTCAAATTGTATGTATTCTTATCCCTAGACTCTTCTGATATGTCCCCAGTGAGAAGGAAAATCTGCTTTGTCAATCCACACTTACTATTGACTTAATTATCCAACAACATTTTAAGTGCCTACTATGGGCTTAAACAAGTGCTGAATTATATTGTTGACCACTGTGTTCACTCCCACCTCTAGGAGAGCCCAAACTTGTTGGGAAATAGTAAAGGCTAGGAGAGGCAGCATTTTAATTAGCTTCTGGCTAGATTTTACAAACCTCAACAAATTTATGCTCTGCTCAGGGCTGCTGCTGAATGCAATGGCACTGGCTTACTCAAAATAATAATAATGGCCAGGCACGGTGTCTCACGCCTGTAATCCCAGCACTTTGGGATGCTGAGGCAGGTGGATCACCTGAGGTCAGGAGTTCAAGACCAGTCTGACCAATATGGTGAAACCCCACCTCTATTAAAAATACAAAAATTAGCTGGGCATGGTGGCATGCACTTTTAGTCCCAGTTACTCTGGAGGCTGAGACAGGAGAACTGCTTGCACCCAGGAGGCAGAGGTTGCAGTGAGCTGAGGTCGCACAACTGCACTCCAGCCCAGGCAACAGAGATTCCGTCTCAAAAAAAAAAAAAAAAATCCAAAATAATAATAATAAGGAAAACCTCTGGTCAGCAGCCCCCAGAACTCTCAAGCATGGAGGCTTGAGATAATCATTTTTTATGTCCAAACTGCTTTCCAAGCTGTCATGCAAGGTGAAACTAAGGAAGCAATGTATAGCCTGACTCCAATTACTCTTCACTTCATTTGCTTGTGAGTTTTCTCAGTAAAAGATCATTAGTTAAGGTTTGACTTCCATTGCCAAGGTAACAAGAACCATTTTCTAGATGGTTTGGCATCCACTGAGACTCTGAATTCCATTTCCTCAGACCACTACAATAGCCTTGGCCCTCTCACTCTTGTGGTTAACTAATGTCTATCATCCCACATTTCTGCAAGTATTCTCTGCTCAAGAATTCACCGTTGCTTTTTTTTTCTCTTGAACTTATTAATTTAATTCCACTAATCAGTCTCTCCTAATCAAAACCTCAATACATTTCCCCACCCTGCCCTACTCCACCTTAGCCACACATTCCATTACCACATCCTGAATTCTTGTCTTCAAATTAGTCACCCCTTCATTAGCTTAGCTCATTTTATTTCCTCCTCTCAGGTACTACCTTGTTCAACCACACTTAGCAAGAGCTCCAATTCATAATCTACACCACCACTCTTTCACTGTTGCTCATCCTCTTGTTCTTCCTTCTCTTTCCTGGGTGAGATTCCAAGAGCCAACATTGAAGTTCTTTCTTTGCAAAATACCCTCAATTCCCTGTCCTCTCTTCTTTCATTGCATTCATTTAGCAAACAGTGACTTCAGTTAAACCCAGATGTACTCTATGCTTTCTCCAAGCAACTACATATTGCTGGGGGAAAAAATCACAAAATTGGTTGACTGAAATTGTTTTAAATACAACACACAAACCTCAGAACAGAATTCAACACTAACCTCACCCTATTATATTTTTCTGCTTAGTATTCTTTCTCATTCTCCAAGGTGACTATTTCTTTTTTTTTCCTCTACAGTTCTTAAGCATATAATCCCTTCTGCCTCCCCTTCAAGGTACTCACAATTTAAAATCTTGCCTCATACTTGAGAAAATGAAATTGATAAAAATAAAATTTTCTAGTAATGTAGCAGACACATCTACCAACTTAGGTATATCCATACCCATATGCTCTATCTTCTCTCCTGTTAAACAGAAAGACAGATCCCTGTCTCTATTAACATCCAATGTATCCAGTTATACTATATATCACTTCCTAGTTTGTCTTCTCAAGGACTTCACTCTTGTGGTGCATTAGTTATCTATTGCTGCATAAATGATTATTCTGCAATACCACAGCTCAAAATAACAAACATTTGCTATCTCCAGTATCTAAGGGTCAAGAATCCAAGAGTGGCTTAATTGGAATGAATCTGGGTGAGATCTCTCACAAGTTTGCAGCCAAGTTATCAGCTAGGACTTCCATCGTAGCACTGATGGGCTGGGACTGAGGATCCACTTCCAAGCTCATGCACATGACCATTGGTCAGTTTCTCATTGGAGGTCTCAGTTCTCAATTCTCCACCCCTTAAGCCTCTCCACAGGGTTGCTCACAAGATAGAAGCTTACTTTCCCCAGAACAAATAATGAGAGAGAGAGAAAAATAGAGAGAGAGAGAGAGAGACCAAGTGGGAGCTGTATTCTAGTATAACCCAATTTTGGAAGCTACTACCCCATCATTTCTGTTGTATAGTCTTAGTCACACAAACCAACCCTGATGGAACTGGAAGAGGTCCACACAAGGTTGTGAATGCCAAGAGATTGGATCCTTGGGAGTGAGTCATCTTGGAGGATGGCTACCATATGCAGCTACCTCTGTGTAACCTAAATTATAAATTTCTCCCTTTCTATTGGAGCATTCCTAGCAGCATACAAAGTTAGACTTCTAACAGAAAACTCCAATGGCCTCACATTCACTTCCATCTGCCACCTACTCTATTTGCCAAATCTCAGTGCCAAACTGTTCACAGAACTTGTGGATACCCACTGTCACCATGCTACAGCACTTCTCATCATTTTCCATTCTCTTCCTCTGTTTTCTGGCCATACCACCCCTCTAAAATCATTCTTGTCTAACAAATAGTGATTTTATGTTGCCTATTCTAGTGGACCATTATCTGCCTTCATCTTACTGTAGCTGCTAGTATCATTTAAAAATATTCTCTTTCTTTGCATGTGGAGATGAATTTAGGTTTTATGGAACTTGAAGCTTATACAATTTTGGATCCCCATTGAAAAAGGAGTATAATTATAATTAGATATGAATAGGAACACTTTTACACTGTTGGTGGGACTGTAAACTAGTTCAACCATTGTGGAAGTCAGTGTGGCGATTCCTCAGGGATCTAGAACTAGAAATACTATTTGACCCAGCCATCCCATTACGGGGTATATACCCACAGGATTATAAATCATGCTGCTATAAAGACACATGCACACGTCTGTTTATTGCGGCACTATTCATAATAGCAAAGACTTGGAACCAACCCAAATGTCCAACAACGATAGACTGGATTAAGAAAATGTGGCACATATACACCATGGAATACTATGCAGCCATAAAAAATGAAGAGTTCATGTGCTTTGTAGGGACATGGATGAAACTGGAAACCATCATTCTCAGCGAACTATCGCAAGTACAAAAAACCAAACACCGCATGTTCTCACTCATAGGTGGGAATTGAACAATGAGAACACATGGACACAGGAAGGGGAACATCACACACCAGGGACTGTTGTGGGGTGGGGGGAGGGGGGAGGGATAGCATTAGGGAATATACCTAATGCTAAATGACGAGTTAATGGGTGCAGCACACCAACATGGCACATGTATACATACATAACAAACCTGCACATTGTGCACATGTACCCTAAAACTTAAAGTATAATAATAATAAAATAAAAAAAGAAAGTAAATATTATTTAGGATGCAAAATAAATTATAAAATATTACCAATATTGAAAGCTCAAAAATACCGCCAATATCAACAAAGGACAGAAAACAATACAACTCCTCCATAATTTTGTTCTCTTACAGTTTTGACTACATAATTTTTTATTGCCTCTTAACATAACAATGATCTTGATATATTGTTTTCTATAACGAGAATAGAAAGATATCCAACTTCTCCCCTGAAATGGTTGACCAAAAAATCCTTTTTATTTTTACCTCAGGAAATATACTCTCAGCTTCACAACTTGTTAGAATTGTCAAATTTGGGGAAATTTTTTTCAGGTTTATTTCATATATGAGATATAAGGTTTTGATGAATTTCCACAGACTAACATTGGCTCCATACATTTCACACTTTATTTCTCCTCCACTACAATTCTTCCCACCGTAGTCCAGCTGCTGAGTGAGTTGGTACAGCAGGCGCCAGGACATTCCTGGAGGCCATTCCTATGCTGGGATGGCAGCAATAACTCAATTACACAGGAAAGGGGTTGTGAGCTACATAAACTTATCCAACTAAATGTATAAATTAATACACAAATGTGCTATATTCCAATAAACATATGCATGCAATATCTGCATATTAGGTTTTTATTGCTGTGTAACAAATGACCACAAACTTAGCAGGTTAAAATGACATACAATTATAATCTCAAGGTTTCCATGGGTCGGGAACCTGGGCACAACTTAGCTGGGTCCTCCTCTGCTTAGGGTCTCAAAAGGCTCCACTCAAAATGTTATCCAAGACTGTGGTCTCATCAGAGGCTCACCAGGGGAAAAGCCTACTTTCAAGAACCCTCAGATTGTGGGCAGAATTTATTTCCTTGCAGCTGTAGGATTCATGGCAGTCTGCCTCTTCAAAGACAGTCATGTAGAGTCTCTAGCAGACAAATGTTACACTCTTGTGGAATCACATACACGTAATCACTTTTATTCCATTGCCCTTTTTTGTAATCCATTGGTTAGAAGCAAGTCACATGTCCTGCCCATATGAAGGGGAGGGAATTATACAAATGCATGAACACTGGGAGGTGATGATCATGGGGCTGCTTTCAAGTCTGTCCACCACAGTCTCTTAAAGAATAAATATAGAAAAAATATAAAGCGATACATGACATATTAAAAAATCATTTTAATGAGTTCAAAATGATTTGCACATATCAATAAGTTTCAATGGTTCTATGAGGTAGTGTATGTCTGCTTTCTACATAGGCAAATGAGAATTTCAACTTTTTCAGATTCCCAAGCCAGCTAGTTGAGCTGGAACTTGGATTTCTCAAACTTCATCTTCTAGTTTATTGCTTCATATTAGCTTCCTCTAGAAATACAAAAGAACGAAAGTTGAAACTTTTGTTCTTGGAGATAGTTTTTAAGTACAGGAACTACTGAATACACATCTTTTAAGCATAAGCTAATTATTGAGAATTAACTAGTCCTCTAGTTACCATTTGTATACCATTAAAATACATTTTCATCTTGACATTTCTTGATGTCTCACTGAGTCTTCAGATTTATCAACCCAAAGATTTTGTAGAATTTTTTCCATTTTTCTTTTACAGGTACTTGAGGCTGCTCTCCTCACTTAGTACTCATCTCAGTTTTCTAAAGACCCGCCTAAAGATGTTCATCTTTAGTTCATCTGAGAAAAGCAGTAAGAACACTTCAGACCATAAGAATAAGTTTATATTGGCACTAGTGGTTAAGCTATAACTTTTCTAATTCCAATGGCCCTGTGTATTTTTTCTTCGTTATCATTCTTCACTAGGAATCAAAATATAAGCATTCTTTGTTATTATAGGCTTTATCCTCTACACAGATATGCCCTTGGATGAAAAGAACATGTCCTTAAAGCAGAGAAAATACAGATGTTTCCACTTCCCCATTTACATCACTCCACACAGCAATGATATTAGCCTTTTAGTAGTATATGCCACATTAGCAGTCTGAGTGTTTTTGAATCAAAGCCGAAATTTGTAGTGCCTCTAATGTGTAATGAAGTTGCACATTTTTACCATGCATTCACTCAAGCATATGGCTTTTATAATTGAACTCAAGAGATTATATTTTGGATTGACTTCTGCTCTAATAAAAATGCACACATACCAATGCTTCTGTCCCCATTTGGAGACAAAATTTGATACAGTTTGGTCATGTTATAGCGTGTAGATATGCTTTCATTCTTCTGTTGAAAAAATAAAGCCATGATGACTTAATTATGTAAAATAGCATTACTAAATAGCAAATAGTTTATATTATATCTGCATATGGGCATTAAAAAAGATTACATGATGATCTGAATTACCAGTGCCCAGAACAAATATCATTGGAACATATATGCTTATTTTTGAGGAGACATGGAATTTAAAAGCATTGGCTTAGTTCTAATGTTATTGTTCTTAATTAACCAAGCTTTCAAATAAATGTTCACATTTATATGACTGTTCAGATTGTGGATTTCAGGAATGCTCAGATTACACTCAAAAGCAAGTATTTCCAGATATTGCTCAAAAGGTTACTTTTGAAATATGCTTTTTTTATTGCACTTGAATGTAGTTGAATCAGATCTACCATAAGAGAAGTAGTCAGAAAATTCATTTAATCTTTTCAGAGTGCTTTTAAAAGATTTAAAGTTAGATCTTTGGATAAGCTCATACTTAATGGTTGTCATCTGTGTACAGTGTAGTTTCAGGGATTATAATAGCATAAGTTAAACTTACTTTTTTTGCATTACTCCTTTGTCCTAATGTAGAGATGTTTATGTATATTTTTCTCACTTCTAATCATGCCATTAATGGAAGTATAGTAATAATATTTTTCTAATCAAGTAAAAGAAATGAAAGCTAAAATGATCAAAACTATCAAATGAACATTTTTAACTTAAAATTATGTCCTAGAAAGTTGCTTTTAGGACATTATGATAATTCACTAGGAAATGAATACAGTATATATTTGTTCTTTCAAGATGAGAACATAAAAATCACTAAAATTTATTGAGTGCTTTCTCCTCTAAGTGTTCATTTCAATGCGTTAACTTACTTCTCTATCTGTTAACTTACTACATCATCACGGCCACTTTATAAGACAAGTGCCATTATTTTTCTAATTTTGCAAAAGAGGAAACTGAGACACAGAGAAGCTAAATGAGCAGTAAGAGGTAAAGCTGAGGTTCCAGCGTAAGAAGTCTGGCTCTCTATGACTAACCCATGCCATCTTGAAAAAGTCAGCATAGCCTTGATAGTCTTCTAATGACAACTTAATCATTGTCTTCTCAAGAAAATGTTTCTTTGAAGTAAGAGTATAAAATTCATATTTTGTCTTATCTGTTACTGAATTACATAAAAATGTACAATAAACATCTGAAGTCTACTCTGTTTTTCTAATGTAATATTCCTGAATAAATGCAAAATTATTATATTGGTTCTTTTGCTTTAATACTATTCCCTCATGGCACCGTCAGTCTTGAAAATCTGTTTCCTCCATGTTCAATTCCAGTTTCCTGTCCTATACATACCAAGTAATGATAGCAGCTATCCTTTAATTGTTCAGCCAACTATTTTGCTCAAACAATTATATTTATTAAAATAACTAAATTGATTTTCTGTCTATAAGAACAGGCATTTTGAAATCTCTATGCTTCTCGGTCAAAGGTTGTGTCAATAAAATACTCAGTAAAGTGGAGATTTGGAAATCATCCAATAAATTTGATCAATAGAGAGACAAACTCAATATGTTAAATCCTAAAGGTTTTTTCCTCTTCTGAATTACTGTCTGCAGACTACATTGATACAATTAGCCAGACAATCACCCCATCTCATTGCTACTTGTGCTCTGTGGTGTTATGAGCCATTGGTAGACATGACAGGTTTTCTCAAATTGTGACCCTTTCTCTACCACTAGTGATCAGTGGAGAAGTAAAGCAATTTCAAAAAAATGTGTGCTATAACTGAATTATAGCTAATTAATAAACAATTTGACTTTGACTATAAGAATATGCCAAGTAATATGAATGTTTTAGATCACGTTTATAATCATATACAATTTTGACTTTAGCATTTCCAAATGCAGAGATTTACATGTTAATTTTTGGAAACATCTCTTTTACCCATTTTTAAACTTTACCTTGTTTAAAATTTTAGTAGAAATTTAAAGAAATGAACGGCAAATCAATTTAAAATGTTGACCTGATTTTACAGCTATAACAGTAACCAGAAATTGCTCCATTCCATTCATAAGGGTTTTGAAATACTAACCATATTCAAGAAGTCACCCTGTGTCTCTTGTTCGTTCTGTTTCTTCATAATATCCTGTATCATAAGACCATGTTTTGTGCTGTGAGCAAGTGCAAATGATTATGTAATGAAGAATCTACTATTATTCTATTAATAACTACATTTTCATAGGTAAAATAATGTTTTTCATTCAAAAAAATATGTCAACTCACTTGGCTTAAGCCACAAGATTTTATTACATTTAGTGTCAGGGAAAAGATTTGGGTATACATCATTTTGGACACTCTGGGACTCAAACAGTTAAAAGGAGGTTAATCACCTGCTTTTTTGAATGTGCAAATTTATGAAAAATACTAAATGGCATGCAATCACCACACCCAAAATAGTCTACAAATAAGAAGCAAAAGAGTGAAGGAAGGGCTTTTTTGCATGAATCCGTGACACTGTGTGATTATTTTACACATTAAGCTGATTTGTAACTGTTGAAAGAATTGACCCATTCTCAGAAAATGAGAGTACCTAGCAAATATAAGGAAATCCAATATGAACTTTCTGTACCTATTAATGTGCTGACTAGCTTTGGATGCTTTCCTAATTACTTCTTAATGTTTTGCACAAGTCATCAAAACCTGCTAACACATCTGTCGAGTGGGTGATTGGCTATGTATATATGCAAATATATATCTTTTTAAGATATAGATAAAACATACAAATATGTATTATATGATAGTATGCACCCTTTAATACCACACTATTTACTTTTGTAAAACTACTGGAATTTGTGCAGTACACATAATTGTTTTTTAACATTTCAGTCCAATTTTTGGCCTGTTTTCTGTTTTTACATTTCTGCTTTGTGCTGGAATTATATCCAAAATACCATGTGAATTTTCTCATCTGTTCTTTTTTAAACTTAAAAGCAGTTTTCCTTAATGGTATTTAAATCCCATTAAGTCATACAGGTATCTTATTTTCTTTTTTTTAAAGTGCCTGCCTCATAAATATACATAAGCCAAAGTTTAATTGGTCTGGTTTGTAGGTACTACCAAAAAGATTTTTTTGAACCATTATCTAAAAAAGGAATAAACATTTTTTATGTTGTCTTATTCTAAGATGAGATACAAAATTAACTTTGACATTCATAAAAAATACTTTTGAATAACAAATATTTTCCATTTTAACTTTTGGCCTGGTTATACTGCAAAAAAAAAAAAAAGTCTATCCAGAATCATTAAAATTTAGGGAGGGAAGAAAAAAAAGGCTTTTGTAATTATTTGAATTATTACATTAAAAATAATGAAATGAAAGTGTTTGAGTATTCAAAATGTTAACCAAAATACTGAACCAAGGAAAAATTACAATAGATAATTAGATTTAGGATTCAATTTAAACATATCAGATTTACTGCTAATATGCATTGAAATAGGAACTGTAGGTAAATAGGTCAAAGACAAGGCAGTAAAGCAAAAACCACACTAGGTATTACTGAGAGAGAACGTTCATTAGGGATAATTAGTTACATGGGTATTGGAATTCTGAAAAAGCAAAGAAGAAAAGTGACAAGAGATTGAATGTATAGGAAGCTGTCAGCAACTTTTAGGCTGGGGAAATGAAATGGAAGGTGTTACCAGAAAGCAGAAGATTAAAGGGGAAGCCCCTATAGGATTGGTGCTTGAAACTCTGAGAGTGGACTCATGGCTACTTCTGAGGAAAATGCCTGCAGTGGGGATGGTGATGTCTAAGAGAGACCCCCCCACATGGATGCTCAGTCTGCAACATAATAGGACACAGCTGGTGTTCAGAAGGCAGAGAGTGGGATGGTTGGAGGCACAAATGGTACATCAGCCACTGAGCAGGTATGGCATAGTTGGTGCTCAGCTCACTGAATGGCATGGACCAGATCATGATGGGAGCACCAGGTGAAATAGGAAATGAGAGCCTTCACTGTCTTTTGTCTCTGGAAACACAAGTGGAAAATGACCCTCCAGTGCCTCATGGCCACAAACAGGGAGAAAACTAAGCTCATATAGAGTCTAGAAAATGTATTTTACCTCACAGCACAAAATATAAAAGGATGGGCTTAAGCAGAGAAACAACAGATAAGTAACAAGCACTGTGGGTAAATCCAAAGAGGAATCTGACTGGCCTCTTGCCTTCAAGGAGTAGATTCTCAAAATATATCTGGTTGTAACGTGTGAGAACAGTCCAGACAAATGTGAAAAGAACAATGCTAAGGATTTCCTCTACTTGATAGCAAATTATATTTAAAAACTACTGTTAAAATAGTACAATAAAAGCTTATTGACAGACAGCTAGAGTCATGGAAGAAGTCCAGAAACACACACACACACACACACACACACACACACGAACACATATACACATTTAAGATTAAAATGGCATTTTAAATGAATTTGACAAATGGGTTAACAATTCAAAAAATCTTGTTGGGACAATTGGTTCTTCACTGAAGGAAAAAAAATAGATCCTTATAACACACTACAAACACACATACAAAATTCTTGATGGATTTCTGATCTAAATATAAAATAAGAATTTTTTAAAGTAAGCAAAAGTGAACACATGTATAATCTTTGGATCAAAAAGGTCTTATTAAACAAGAAACAAAATATAGGTATAAAAGAAAAAATGGATACATTTGACTACATTGCAATAAGCAAAAAAAAAAAAAAAAATGTCAGGACACTATAGCAAACTGCTTCAGAAGCCAGAAGCAGGAGTCAATGACTCTGCTTAGAATCTTGGCTGAGACTTTATCCCTTTGAGGCCCCCTTTCCACATATAATAGGGCTTTAATAACATCTACTTCAAAGGCTCATTCTGATGATTAAATAAAATAATCCATGTGAAGTGCTTAGCACATTGCCTGATACATGGTAAGCAATTAGTGATAACTAAACAACTTCCATTTTCCTATAGAGCTACTAAAATTAATTTTGAAGATAAATTGCTATAAAAGTTATTATGTTTCATTTTCTTTTAGATTTCTTAAACTTATTTTGCATACACTATTTGTGGACTATTCCAAGAAGACACTCTTTTTACATGTGTAGTAGAATTTCATCTTTATATTATGATCAACTCAAATCAAACATCATATTTTTAACCCTAACACCATAGTTGTATTGAATTCTCTCTGTGACTTTACACTTTTGTGACCTAAAAAATAATTTCTGGAAATAAATATACAAAGTATTCTGATTTCTATTTCATAAAAATACTTTATTTTATTAAATACAGAATGGACTCTCACTCAAAATGCTGGTCACTGCAAGAAGCAAAGATTGGAATCATTTTCAGAGAAGTAAGAATTTCAAAGTGTCCTAAATATGTGAGCAGAGTGAAATAAACCTTTTTTATGAGAAAGATATTAATTCCTAAATGAAAATAAAGAGAGAAAGAACCATAACAAAACCAGTATTTATTGTGCACTTTGTATATATAGGCTAGACACTTCTAAATGCTTGGTATATTAACTTTATTAACTAGTTAAATCCTCCCAACACTACGAAATTGATGTTACTATTATTTTCACTTTATAGATGAGGAAACTGTGGCATGAAGAGGTTAAGTAACTTGAAGGAGGCATAAGCAAGAAGGTAATGGAGGCCAGAAATTTTTTTTTCTTTTTTTCTTTTTTTTTTTTTTGAGATGGGGGTCTCCTCTATCACTCAGGCTGGAGTGTATGGCACGATCATGGTTCACTGCAGCCTCAGTCTCTCTGGCTCAAGCAATCCTCCCACCTCAGCCTCCCAAGTAGCTGAGACTACAGGCACACATCACCACACCTGGATAATTTTTCCATTTTTGTAGAAGCTAGAATTTAACAAAGGCAGTTTAACTCCACAAACAGTGACTTTTACTGATGATGCAATATTGGTAATTTTGGAGTCTGTTGTTGTTGTTTCTCTTTTGTATTTATTGTTGAGATAGGGCAGAACTACCTGCAGTGTTGCCCCAGAAGTAAATCATCCTCTTTGAAGTGTGATTTTGAGAAAACATCAGAGATAATGATTTTGAGGAAAGTAACCTAAACACTACTCAATCAAATGTCTATAATACTACTACTGGGAATTTATATCTTAGTATGTCAAACTTGTGTCATCTACAAATCTACTAATGAACTGTAAATAATATCTCCAGAAAAGGTGACAGAATAAGTCATATCAACTTTTGTCTACCAATTTTGAACAAATAGAAGCCAAAGTTGGAGGAGGTAAATATGGAGTGAATAAATTCACAAATGAAAGAGTATTTGCCTGCTATAAAGGGACTTTACCAATAGCACAGTTTGTTCAGTAGCCAATAGTCTCCATAATATGGGCAAGTGCAAGATGCCATGGTGACAGCTAAGCCTTATCTTCGTGATGACACAGGAAATTGGCTACTCAGATACTGCCTTTAATTATTCAACAGTGACTTAGTGATCCTATAAAGTACAAACCTTTGTGGTGAGTTCCTTGCTGAACTTATACTCCTATACAAAAAGATCACAGTCCCATCTTTAACTATTGTCTTCATCTGTTTATGCTACTATAACAAGAGACTTGAGACTGGGTAATCTATTTTTTAAAAAATAGAAGTTTATTTCTCACAGATCCGGAGGGTGGGAAGTGCAAGATAAAGGTGCCAGCGGGTTCAGTGTCTGGTGAAGTCTTGTTCCTTACAGATGGTGCCAAGTAGGTGTCCTCACATAGCAGAAGGGATTTAAAGAAATGGCAAACTCCTTCCATCAAGCCCATTTAGAAGAGCATCTAATCCCATTCATGAGAGCAAAACCTACATGACCCAATCACCTCCTAAAGGCCACACCACTTAGAACTGTTACATTGGGGATTAAGTTCAAACATGAATTTTAAAGGGGATAAAAACATTCTAACCATAGCACTCTTCCCCTGGATCCCCAAATTAGTTTAATTAATTAATTGGATGAATTAATCCAAAATTAATTAATGAGTCCAAAGTCTCATCTGCACACCATCTAAATCAGTTATGGGTGAGACTCAAAGCTTTGTGTCATTCACCACAAGGCAAATTGCTATCTAGCTGAGAGCCTGTTAAATCAAGCAAGTTGTGTGCTTCCAAAATACAATAGAGGGACAGGCATAGGATAGCCATTTCCATTCCCAAAAGGAGAAATTGGAAAAAGAAATCAGTAATAGATCCCTATAAAGTTCAAAACTCAACAGGGCAAACATTAAATCTCAAAGTTTGAGAATAATCTTTTTTAACTCCATGTCCCATCTTCTGGGTTGGATACCCACATCCCTAGGGGGTCCCATCCCCAGGACTTTGCTAGGAACAGCCCATGCCACAGCTCATACTGGTTGGAGTCTTGCACCTTCAGCTCTCCCAGGCTGGAGTTGCTGACTGGTGGCTCTACAGTTCTGAAGTCTTGGGAGAGGCCCTTCCCCCACAGCTCCACTAAGCATTGCCCTACTAACAGCTCTCTGTGGCATCTTTGGAACCTAGGTGAAGGTAGCCATGCCTGCCCAGCTCTTGCACTCTGTGAGCATGCAGAGTCAGCACTAGGTGAACACCACCATAATTTATGGCCTCTATACCCCTGGGCCCACTTAAGCCACAACTTGGGCAGCCAAGGAGCCCTGTACCAGACTGCAGGGAGCAGAGACTTAAGACAGTCCTGGGCATTGAGCTCTGAGGTTCTACAAACTCCCTGAGCCCATTGTTTATAACAATTCTGCCCTAAAAGTCCTAGCACTCTGGGCCTGTGATAAGACTGGCAGCCTCAAAGATCTCCAAAAGGTCTTCCAGGGCTTCCCTCTCTCCATACTAATCTTATCAGCGGATTGTTGGACACAACCTTGGTTTACTTTCCTTAACACGTTCTTTTAGGCTTTACATGGCCAGGCTGAGAGTTTTCCAAATCTTCACATTCTGCTTTCCTTTTCGTTTCAAATTCTGTCTTTAACTTACTTCTCTCTTGCATTTTACAATAAGCAGTTGAGAGAAAGCATGCAGCACCTTGAATACTTTGCTTAGAGATTTTTTTTGCTAAATATCCTAGTTGATTGCCCTTAAATTCGGCATTCCACAAAACATTAGGACATGGACACAATTCAGCCATCTTCTTTGCCACTTTGTAGCAAGGATGGTCTTTCCTCCAGTTTCCAGCAAAATGTCCCTCATTTTCATTTAAAACACCATGTGAATGATCTTTTTTTTTTTTTTTTTTTTTTTTTTGAGACGGAGTCTCACTCTGTCACCCAGGCTGGAGTGCAGTGGCGCAATCTCGGCTCACTGCAAGCTCCGCCTCCCAGGTTCACGCCATTCTCCCGCCTCAGCCTCCCGAGTAGCTGGGACTACAGGCGCCCGCCACCACGCCCGGCTAATTTTGTTTTAGTATTTTTAGTAGAGACAGGGTTTCACCATGTTAGCCAGGATGAGTCTCGATCTCCTGACTTCGTGATCCGCCCGCCTCGGCCTCCCAAAGTGCTGGGATTACAGGCGTGAGCCACCGCGCCCGGCCGTGAATGATCTTTACTGTCCATATTTCTACTAACATTCTGTTCACAACCACTTAGTTATCTCTAAGACTGAGGCTTTTTCTGCAGTTCTCCTCTCCTTCTGAGACGTCACCAGAATCACACTTAATGCTCTGTTAATGGCAGTGCAGGCTTTTTCTACCATTCACTTTAAAACTGTTTCAGCCACTACCTATTACCAAGTTCCAAAGCCACATCCACATTTTCAGGTATTTGTTATAGCAACAGCATCATTTTTCTAGTATCAGTTTCTCTCTGAGTCAATTTCTTCTGTTCTAACAAAATACTCAAGACTGGATATTTTATGAAGAATTATATATACCAGATTTCCATATTGATGGACACATGTCACATAGGATAAGCACCCAGTACATATTTATATAATTCATTAATTTGTATGAATAAGTGAACAGAGATGAAAAACTAGAATATATATGTATATGTAACATAAATTCTTTTTTTTTTTTTTTTTTGAGATGGAGTCTCACTCTGTCGCCTAGTCTGGAGTGCAGTGGCGCAATCTCGGCTCACTGCAAGCTCCACCTCCCAGGTTCACGCCATTCTCCTGCCTCAGCCTCCCGAGTAGCTGGGTCTACAGGCGCCCACCACCAGGCCTGGCTAATTTTTTTTGTATTTTCTTTTAGTAGAGATGGGGTTTCACTGTGTTAGCCCATAAATTATTTATAAATATATAGTTGACCCCTGAACAACATAGGTTTGAACTGCACAGGTCCACTTACACGTGGATTTTCTTCCACCTCTCCCACCCTTGAGATAGCAAGACCAACCCCTCTTCTTCCTCCATCTCCTCAACACACTCAATATGAAGATGATGAGGATAAAGATCTTTTTCTTTTTTTAATTAAAAAAAAATTGTAGAGAAGGAGTCACACTATGTTGCCCAGGCTGGTCCTGAACTCCTGGCCTCAGACAATTCTCCCATCTCAGCCTCCCAAAGTGCTGGGATTACAGATTTGAGCCAGTGTGCCTGGCCTGAAGGTCTTTATGATGATTCACTTCTGTTTAATGAATAGTAAATATATTTTCTCTTCCTTATGACTTTCTTAATAACATTTTCTTTTCTCTAGATTACTTTATTATAAGAATACAGCATATAATACATACAACATACAAATTATGTGTTAATTGTTTAGGTTATCGGTAAGGCTTCTGCTGATCAACAGGAGGCTATAAGTTAAGTTTCTGGAAAGTCAAAATTATACAGAAATTTTTGACTATGTGGAGGGTCAGCATTCTTAACCCGCATGTTGTTCAAGGCTTAACCATGTATGTGTAAGTGTGTATGTGTGTGTGTGTGCACACATATATAATCTCAACCCTGTATATATAGTACTAACTTATAGTTTGTAACATTGTAAAAGATATAATCCAGAATATTCTCATCACAACAGCTGTCACTCTTCATTCCTTCCTCCTCACAGGCTCTGGTGACCATTAATCTACTTCCTATCTCTATGGAGATTTACATATTCTGGGTATTTCACGTAAATGGAATCACACAACACATGGCCTTTTATTCTGCCTTCTTTCACTTAGTATAATATTTGGAAATGTTGTCCATGTTGTAGCATGTATCAATACTTCATTTCTTTTTATGGATGAATAATGTTGCATGGTTGTGCCAAGTTTTGTTGGTTCATTTATCAGTTGATTGACATCTGGGTTGTTTCCACTTTTTGGCTATTATGAATAATGCTTCTATGAACATTCATGTACAAGTTTATGTGTGCACATATGTTTTCCATTTTCTTGACCATATACCTAGGAGTGGAATTTCTGGGTTGTACGGTAATACTATGTTTATCTTTTGAGGAACTGACAAAATGTTTTCCAAAGCAGTTGAACTATTTTACATCTTTACCCGAAATGTACGAGAGTTTTGATTTCTCCACATCCTTGTCAATACTTGTTCATCTTTTTCATTATAGACATCCTAGTGGGTATGAAATGGTATCTTATTGTGGTTTTGATTTGTATCTATCTAATAACTAATAACTTTCAGCATCTTTTCATGAGCTCATTGGTCACTTATATGTCTTTTTTGGAGATGTGCCTATTCAAATCCTTTTCTCCACTTTTAATTGGGATATTTGTCTTTTTATTGTCAAAGTGGAAGAGTTCTTTATATAGTCTGGTTACTATACCCTTATCAGATATATGTGTTGCAAATATTTTCCCATTCTCTGTGTTTTTTTCACTATTTTGATGGTGTCCTTTAAAGAACAAAAATGTTTAATTGTGATGAAGTCCAATTTTTATCTCTTATTTCTTTTGTTGCTTGTATTTCAGATGTCTCATCTGAAAAAACTGTTACCTAATCCAAGTCACAAAATTTTTCTCTAAGCATTTTAGAGTTTTGCTCTTATGCTTAGGTCTTTGATACATTGTGAGTAATGTTTTATATATGGTGTGTGGTAGGGGTCCAACTTCAATCTTTTGTATGTGGATTTTCATATATTTAGCACCTATGAAACAACGTATAGGATTTACTTTAAAATAACCCATAATGGGTTATAAATAATGGGGGCGGAGGAGTGAGTAAATATGTAAGTTTAAAAAGATTGGCCATGTTTTGGTAATTGTTGAAACTGGATGATATATGCACAGAGGTTCATTACACTATTCTAATTTTTATATATTTGACACTTTAAATATATAAAAATAAAAAAATAAAAAGTTGAACAATCAGGTACAACATCACTATTTTACAGCTTTGGAATAAGAATGTAAATGACTCGGGTTTACTTTTCCCATGTAGAAATGCTTTCTCAGTATATCTCAGAATATGTATATGTTTTTCCACTCCTAAATTGTGAAAAACAAATAGTCGAAAAAATCAGGAAAACAGGAGACAAGCATTTCAATGCTCCTACAAGATTTGGAGCTTGACAATCAACATAAGGACTGTATGATTAGAAGAAATCACTGATGTCAAGTTGAAAGCAAGAGCCGGGAATGCTGACATGGGAGTCAAGGGTTAAGGCTGACATTTTCATGAATAGGAGAAGAGCACATAAGAGAGAAGTAGTTCTCATCTAGCCACTCTTACTTGTAGTTGGATGTGTTCTTGGCTCTGACTGCTGCAAACAGTGAGTCATTTTCACAAATAATATAAATATTAATGAGCTTATTCACATAATATACTTTATACCAATCCTATCAATGGTGGTCCAAGAAATAAGCTTTAGAACCAAAATAAGTCCTTAAACTGGTAATTTTGATATACCATTCTATGTGTTGCTATTAGCCTTGCTAGAAGATCTAAATGTTATGTTATTTGAATGCTAGTTAATCATATTCTCTGGCATTCCCCAGAAATAGGGTAAGTGCTATGGTAGAGTTTCTTGTAAATACTTAAACAGAAAAAACATGCAAATAGAAAAAGATGTTATTGTGGAATATTACAACAGGAATTCAGAAATTGATCTAAAATCTCTATTAACAAAAGCAGTATTAATTTAAGTGACAATATCCAAATCAATGTCAAGCAAACAAAATGTTTGCATTATTAAAAAAATGAGATTCATGAAGCAACATATATCCTAATGCATAATGTTAAGAAGCTTGTGGACATATTCTTAACAAATTTGATCAGCGTCTTTGAAAAATACATGAAACTTTTCTGGACTGGAATATTTGTGAAAACTGACAATGGAAAAATGAAAAAAAGACCAAGACTATAAGTAGGCAATTAATGCTTTGTGAGTTTTAAAATTTCATCTTAAATATAACTTCTAATTATTAAATATATGTGGCATTTCAATTATTTAACTGGCTTTTGTCACTTATTTCATATAAATGTCATTTTCTTTAATGTTTTATTATCCAATTTCCATACCAGGTGGAGATCATTTTTATATGTTACTGAAAGATACAATGCTGTGAAAATCATGCTTTTATTATTATATTTTACATAAAACCTCTTAAATTTTTATATAAAAATGGTTCATAGTTTATCGTTACCACTCATGAACACAGGAAAAGTATTATGAAAAATGGAAAAAAACATATTATTTCAGGGCTGTCTTAGAATTTCCAGGAATTTCTATTTCTAGTTCCAGAATCCTGAAGATTATGATGTCAGGAATTTGGAAATACTACCTAAATTCTACTTAGAGACTGAAAAGTTATTGGATGAAGACTAGCAGCCTGGAAGAGGTAGGCTGCTGTGCTCCAGAAGGCAGTGGCCTGAGCTAGGAAGCTTTTAAAAATTACAAGTAATCATTCAGACTTAGTTAATGGAACTATTCCTCAGAGACAGCCAGAAACTCAGCAGGGAAGGAGACTTGGTAAAGAGCAGACATCCTGTATTCTGTGGAATCGGTGCTGAAAACACTATTTGATCATTATGGGGAAAGATGACTCCTAAAAGAACAGTTGGGGACATCTGATTTGGAAAGCATTTAAGTCCCAAAAGGAAGAATTACATGAACCCTGGCCATTCACCCTGCAAGACAGAAGGGGTAACTCAATCACTATTGTATAGGGAGTGTCAAGCTGTTCTTGACTACCATGGACAATCTCATAGAAGGAAATAGAAACAGTTGCAAGTGGACACAAGAAACAACTAAGTATCACTATGATGTTAACTGTTTAAGAAAGGTTGAAAATTACTGGTTCTGAATGGTAAAATTCATCTGAAGTACAAAGGTTGAGATCCTTGTGTCCTTCCAAAGTTATTTTTCTACAGATCTTAAGCACAAGTTAAAGTTTTATTTACTTCAGGCAACTACAAGCATCTATTAAGTTTTTTTCCCTGTGCCATGATCAAATATTAAATAAATCCATACAGTGAAACACAGATCATCTTGCAATCTAAATCAAAACAAATATTGAATTTAGTTGGGTATATTTCTCTTCTCATTCCTTTTTTTTTTTTTTCCTTTTTTTTTTTTTTTTTTTTTTTTGTGAGATAGAGGCTCGCTCTTGTTGCCCAGGCTGGAATGCAATGGCACAATCTCGGCTCACTGCTGCAACCTCTGTCTCCCGGGTTCAAGCTATTCTCCTGCCTCAGCCTCCCAAGTAGCTGGGAATTGCAGGCGCATGCCACCATACCTGGCTAATTTTTTTATATTTTTGGTAGAGATGGGGTTTCACCATGTTAGCCAGGCTGGTCTGGAACTCCTGACCTCAAGTGATCCACCTGCCTTAGTCTCCCGCAGTTCTGGGATTACAGGCGTGAGCCACTGCGCCCGGCCTCTCTTCTCATTCTTAGGGCATTAGTGGTAGAGGCTTGGGGGAGGGATAGTGTATGTGCGCACGTTAGTTTGAATGTGAGTGTGTGTGTGTTTGCGTGGGTAGGCAACGTATGAAGTAGGAAAGAGGTGATGTTACATGTTTATGTTAGTCGCACACTGTTAGATAAATTCTTGCTGATGAACATGAAGCAATACTTAAGAACATGAAAGATTTATTGCACCTTTCAAGAGAGGGCAGTTCTTTCTCTATTAGCCAAGATAATGAGGCTCAGTGCCTGTTTCACGGATGCAGCTGACTTTTTGCAAATTGAAAACAAACATGGACAAGCTTTTTGGTTTTCAAATGATTTTCAGAGTCAAAAGAGAATGCTGTACCCACAAATTTGCTTACTTGAAATAGAAAAACATTTCCATTTATTTTTCACATGAAAAGTTTTGACAGTTGAATTGAGGTGAACTGACTTTGGCAATTTTTCTGTTTGGCTTTTAATACTTACTGCTCTTTTAAAGAGAAACTTAAAGATCATTTAAGTGTATTATACTATTTTGAAATTGTATAGCATTTAACTAAAAACCTGAAAGCAATAATGCTTTTCAAGAATGGAAAAGAGGCATAATAGTCCATTAGAAGTGGGTTATTTGTATCATTAAGGAGAATTGTTATATGCTTTTGAATGAGAAAACACACTGAAGAAACAGAACTTGATGGTGAATGAACATTTGGTTAATAGTTATGCAGCATACATTCAAGAAGAAATAAAGATATATGTATGCGACTAATAGACAAAAGAATTTGAAACATAAGTTGCATATACCATTAAGGTACAATTATTCATGGAAAACCCATAAGAAGATTTTGTATCCACTTATATCATCATGTTAATACCCATTTTTCAAAGCTATCAATTTTGAAATATAATATGCTGTTTCCTCTGGTATTAAAAAGTTAAATAGCTGCCACTGAAGGATTTATACACTTGCCAGATGCTGCACAATTCTTCAGTCAAAACATAAGTATCTCAATCACAAACCATATGTACTTCCTCTTCTGTACTATGAACTGCAAATTCATCTTCATCCTCAACCAACCATGAGACTTGAAACACAGCCTGCCAATTAAATGGAAATGTACAGAATTGTACCGGGTTGCAGAGTGCTTGCAGTTAGGTGTGGTGTACCTAACATCCTTTTAGACACATACACATGAATGATACTTGCTGTCTTCATTTCTGTCTCCTAATTGTTGAATTAAAGCAACAACCAAAATTCTCAAAAACTAGTTTTAAATATGAAACAAAAGGAAGGCCTAAAGAAATCCATACAGGTGAAACCATCTCATATGGGGGAGATTACAGGTTTTTATTTCCTAGATTGAAAAATGAACATATCACTTACACTAAAACCCTCAGTAGGCACTTTCTAGGAGCAGAGAAAAATATTTTTCTTTTGATAGTCTCAAAAAGAAAATCACTAAATTAGCTTATTATCTCAATCTTTTTCAGTATTATCTTAAAAGCCCTGAAGGAGAGAATCTCTCTCTCTCCTTCCTCTCTCTCTCTCTCTCTCTCTCTCTCACACACACACCCACACACACAAATACTATGCATACACAATCAAATAGGATGATCAAAGGCAGCACAGTTCTGCATTGTAAAATTAAGAATTTTTTTCTGACATTTATTTGTCCCCTAGATTTGAGTGTTACCAAGAGACCATCTTGTCCAGATTAATTTTTGCTTAGCAGGTTCCAAATTTTATCATGTGTTCTCATGTTTCACAGCATCTGAACACTAAGCCTCTAGAAATTCTCTTTCAGCCTCTAATTTGTGACTTCTAATCTGCTGCAGTTTGGGAAATCAAATAATGCATCTTGCTATAATTGTATCCAATATCAGATAAAAGGGAACATGCCTGGAATGGGGGCCTAGAGGGGCCTCAGGTGACCTTCTGATGAACTTGATAATAGTTCTTCATATAGCCCTGGAAAATCACTTAAACTCTCTGAATTTCAGTTTTTTTCTTCTGTAAAATATGGAGCTGGACTCAGTGGTCTTTAAGCTCCTTTAATAGCTCTGGGACTTGTTTTGGTTCTCAATGGCAATATTTTTGTTGTTATTTTATGATTCTTGTTTCTTTTCTTAGCTTGCTGAATAAGAGACCTTTTGAAGTGTTACTGTGTTTTATTCTCGCAATTATTAATGGCAAGGTCTTTTCTAAGAATCCAAGTAGAAAATGATACTCAGTAGATAGGTCATATAAACTTTTCTGTTGTGGCATTTTAAAACATTCTATAGGTGTCAATGTACAGATTTACAATAATGTATTTGTATCATCCCATCGAGTCACATTATATCATTAATAAATGTTTGATGTTTGGATGAGTGAATGAACATGTAACAGGTCAGGTAGTATCACGCATCAATCAGAGAATGGGATTTAAATTTTAATGATTTTTCCATCATTCTTCATTTGTTTTTTATTTTATTTCTTTGGTTGTTTAGTTTACAAAAAAGGATCTGTCTCTTCCAAATTTATATGTAAATAGTATTTTTCAATCTATATGGACACAGAATAATTATTTTGATAGAAGTGATTCTTCACTAATATATTTGTTATTTGGCTTTCCTGAATCTCCTGTAACTAATATTGTAACTGAAATAAGCCATTCTGATATATACATATATATGTATATGAATGAGGAAATGACTAGCGATGATTGGTGGTTTATTAAAAGGATTTTTTTTTATTAACTAGCTGTGTGCAGTGAACCTAATTTCTTTCTTTTTACAACTTCCCTTCTATTACAAGCTGTTAAGCTCAGAGCCTAGATCAGCTAAACAGCAGACTCAGTAACAGTAAATGAAGTGCTGTGAGTTTACATCAGACTAATTAGTCTAAGGGATTAAAAAAAAGGGGGTGGGGGTGGGGGAAGGGCTTGGGAGGACTTTTCAGGTTGCTTTGTGAAAGGCAGTTTGCTTAATTAAGCCAACCACTAATTGTTAAATATTTTTTAGGCATTAACAGAGCTACTCTGAGTGTAATTAAATTTTGATTTTAGTGGTATTTGCCAGGATTAAAGTCACAATCTGCTGAGGCACTGGGGTTAGTTAATATTCACTTCACTGCCACAGCTGTCCTCCATTACAATACAAAGGACAGGAAAAGAGACAGCAGAGTGGGGGTGAAGTCATGAGAAAGCTATTCATTCATCTGAACCAGCTCTGTACTCCACAGCCTTGTGCAAATGGGTCTGAGCTGGATGACACACCACCAGGCATTAAATCCAATTTAATTTGATACAATGAAGGGATATCTAAGCCCTGCACGTTTTTTATTTTTATACATGAGACTACGGAATGTATTTAAAAAGTCATCATGTGATTATCATATGTTTCCATCCAAGTAATATTTCTGGATTTATTAGCTCTGTAGGAGTCCACCAGGATTGTAAACCAATTCGTGCTAGGCCATTATTTGTAGCAGCTGAGCATGAATGAGGGCTGTGGAGGGTGGTGGTGACTTTAAATCCCTGGTAAAATCTAACCTGGCATGATCAATGTTTTGAGGTTTTTTTGGTGTGGTTTTTTTTTTTTTTTTTTTGGACCAAGACTGCCAAAAAGAAAAACCAATGGGGTTATATGCGCTTGAGATGGTTGAAGCTCAGCATTCTTCCCATGATTGACAAGGAACATTTCCACTGCTGACTCGTAACATTGCTGGCGATTCCTGTGTTTTTTGGTCATTTTAATATTTTAATTAAATAGCTTTAAGCAATGCCTCGCAGTTATTCCATACTCTGGGTAAGCA
The DNA here is from genome assembly GCF_000001405.40 of Homo sapiens. Lineage (NCBI taxonomy): Eukaryota > Metazoa > Chordata > Mammalia > Primates > Hominidae > Homo > Homo sapiens. The sequence continues at coordinate 93,158 of NT_187549.1, read as the reverse complement.
TAAGAAATCATTTTGTCCTCTGTTCCACTCCCCCCACTCCACAAAATAAGCTAATCAAGAAAGTGTTCAATTATTACACTGGCTATTAATAGTAGAACTTTCAGAATAATCTACAATGTAGGGTCCCTGCATCCACACAGAGGCCATCTGTGGTATTAGGCTCACCATATATACAAAACACCAGCCTTGGAACTAGCTTTCCAATACAAGTTAGGACTGGATGTATTAAGTGTGAGGGATCAAGTTGCTTATGTCTTATTTAGGCAAAAAAAAACTTTATTTAAAAAAAAGTCACCAAGAACTGGTGTTTACCTTGACATTAGAATAAAGAGAATGAAAATGAAAAATAAAAAGGGAGAGAAAGCGCTGGGCACAGTGGCTCATACCTGTAATCCCAGCACTTTGGGAGGCCGAGGTGGGTGGACCACGAGGTCAAGAGATTGAGGCCACCCTGGCCAATAAGGTGAAACCCCGTCTCTACTAAAAATACAAAAAAATTAGCCGGGCAAGGTGGCGGACGCCTGTAGTCCCAGCTACTCAGGAGGCTGAGGCAGGAGACTCACTTGAACCTGGGAGGCGGAGGTTGCAGTGAGCCAAGATTCTGCCACTGCACTCCAGCCTGGTGACAGAGTGAGACTCCGTCTCAAAAAAAAAAAAAAATAGAAAAAAAAAAAAAAAAGAGGGAGAAAAAGGAAGAAAAAAGGAACTGAAAGGAAAAGAAAGAGAAGACAAAAGAAATAAAGAAAACAGATCAATCTAGCAAACTTTCATCTCAAGGGAATTTGAAGTCAGCATTTCTATTCATAATCAAACAAGTTCAAAGACCAACTCGTTTGTATTAGTCATATCTTCTGTAATCTCATTGAATTATTTTATAGTGAACCCTACATTTGAGTTTGTGCTTTAATAAAAATTACTGTCTGACTGTTTCTGCAGGCAAAGTGAAGTGGAGAGATGAGTGGATTATATAGGGCAAACACCTTGAATTTCAATTAATATTAGCATAATTTAATTCTAGTGTTAAGATGACCTTGGCCCAAAGGACTGGGTGATTTTTTTAAGGGGCTTTTATTTTCACATGAAGCCCCCACTCAGCAACTGCAAAACAATTTCTATAGGATAGGTCAAAGCTTCCTACTGAAAAGAACACTATGTAGTACTTTAGGAAGAAATTTAACTGAAAGCAACAAGCATTAACCATACAATCCAAATATGCTGTGTAAATATCTCACAATGCCTCAATCTCTTGGGTCTGTAAATGACTAGAGGTGACAGAACATTCTTCTCCCTACATTAGTAATGCCTCTGCTGTGTGACACTTTCTTCTACCTGCTGACATAGAAAACTCTCCTGGTGCCTTAGATGGCCATGTGGTGGTCATTTCTTACTCCCCTCCTTTTACTTTCTTAGATGGCTGCAGAGTTTTCATTTAAAACTTTTAATCTTAGCAAAGGAAATAGCTCTTTATTTCCTATACTGCAGTTACATTAATAAATGAATTAATTAAACAAACAAAAAACAAAACCACTCCCAAGCAGGGCATTTTTCTCTTTTGCCATCTTCTTGTTACTAGTCTCATGGGCTAATCACCACCCCCAGTCCCAAGGGAAACTGCAATTTTCTAGTTATTTGTATTTCAGATCTGGAAGCCCTTCTCTTTACCACCCTTTGGCTGGGGAGCAGGAACAGACATTCTTCTTTGCTTCAGGGTACTTTACCCTCAATATATTATCCAAATAAAAATCTAAGCAAGAGAGACAAAATCCAATGATTTCCATGTATAATAATAATATTCACTATTACCATCCCTTAGATGCAAAGATAAAGCCTCTGATTCACCATCTAAAAGGGGCACATGCTTTTATTCTCAAGAGACAGAAGCCTAGATGTGTTATGCTAATCAGACCACAGTCCTCTTTGTTGGTTCCTTGCAAAGAACAACTGTGGACAATTTTAGGATGGCTTTTCATGAATGGGGTGTCCCATTACCATGAAAAACACCAAAGCTAGCTAGCTACCCACACAGCATAGATAGTAGCCATCTCTATGCTTAAACTAAAGAATCATGCTTCAATAAACTGAGCTACTTATTCACAGACAGGGTTGAATTGACTCTGGTTCACACTGTCCAAATTCATGAAGGAAAATTTCCATTTGCCTATGGAAATACAAACCTGTCTGATTTATAATTTGCAGTTGCCATCATGATATAATATAAGCTTACAAAGTAGAGTTTGCTTGATATTCCAGATCTCTTCCAACCAAACCGATACATTAATGTTTCACTCTTTGCTGGAGTTTACTTTAAAAGCCTCCCTTTCCCTTCAACATTATCAATCTTTCCTACTCATCTCTGTTTAATAGGTTTAAGAACAACTTGGGCAATATTTGGATTACTATTACATTTCTTTTTAAATTATTCAGTTCATGCTCCAAGTGGAAAATCGGTAGTGTCTTTGTAAATTTATATTCATTTGATCCTTAAAGTTCTGTAACACAATAAACTTGGAACTAGGAAGTAACATTATTCTGTTGGCATGTATGATTTGTTAGGTGATCTAAGCCTATTTTGGAAGCATTTTGCAAAGCTTCAGTTAAAGGTTTTCATAACAAGTATATAATGTACTAAAATTTAGGCCAAAATTGTGCAGGGAGTTCTTAACAGGGTATGAAGCTAAAGCTAAATCAGATTTCTTGTTGTTTTAATCATACTTACAGAGTTTTCTCTGTATATCCCAACAGGAAAAATTACCTCATTGTGATAGTAACAAATGATATTTGTTATTTCCCGTTTTGCATCTGAAGAGGGGGTGGGGGTGGCCAACATCATGTCATGACCTGTGCCAGCCGTGTTGTACATTTCTCCTGCTTTTTGTGAGATACAAATATTTATATCATGCAAAGGCTTTGCTTTTCTACTCAGAATTCTGTGCTTAGAAGACCACAGACATTAAGTGATAATAAACAGCACAGTTTGAGTCCTGTGGCCACTCTGGATGATCAAGTTGAGTTGGACTGCAAGAAAGCAAGTGCTTGTTTAACACATGTATGATATAATTAAGGAAAGACTCTAGGGAAATTATCCAAAGCACATAAGAATCAAATAGACTCACTTTAACAAATATAAAAACTCTGTTCACATAAAAGCTTTCTGTGGCTTTGTAAGGGCTCATATTGGAAAAAAATGGGGGAGAGGAATAGATATTATAATTCATTCTGAAACTATATAACATAAGTAAATGAACAATAAAAGTGATAAATTGGGCAATAAAAAATTATAGAAATAATGCTGTCACATACCAGGTATTCGTTAAATTGACTTCTCAATGTAATTACTTTAACATTTCTACTTCTGATTCAGTACAGATTTTTGGATCATTAAGTACGATAGTAAATATTATACATTTTTCAGGAAAATAATTTATGGCCTAACAAATTTTCCAACAGAAAATCCCAAAGTCGGACAACCAGACTAGCATTTTTTGTAGTCAATTTTTGGACTTAATTCTTCAAAACAGTTTCAACAAATCGGTATTGCACACCTGCTATGCACTAAATATAGTGTGGTAAACTAGCACATAATAGACATATGGCAATTGTTTCAGGTACTCCTGTATTTCCAGGGGATTTTGTGGATATACTTTATACTTTATATAATATACACTCTATGCATGATATAATAATTTCTTTGGGTATGACGTTTTTATTCCCAACTGTGATGGCACCATCACTGCCTCTAAGGAATGCACAATTTAAAAAGAAAACCATATATACAACTAAATATCGACAAAGTACTGTAAAAAGACAGATGATTCCACTGGGTGACTATAGTCAATAATAACTAAAAGAGTGTAATTGGATTGTTTGTAATACAAAGGATAAATGCTTGAGGGGATAGATGCCCCATTCTCCATGATGTGCTTATTTCACATTGCATGACTGTATCAAAATATTTCATGTACCCCATAAATATATACATCTACTATGTACCCACAAAAATTAAAAATATTAAAAGAAAAAAAGAAAACACATGATCAATTCTTCCTGAAAAAGGTTAAAAAAAAAAAAGGTTTTAAGAAGATGATGTTTGATTTAGATCTTCAGACTATAGGAATTCACCAGACAGAGAGGTGAATGAAGAACCTTCAAGCCTGGAAACAGCATAAGGCAGACAGGCAGAAGCACGTGGCATCTACGCTCAATGACGGAGCCTTCCTACTCCAACAGAGGCTTGAGTGGAGGCATTGGCATCGCCTGGGAGCTTGCTAGAAATGCAGAATCTCAAGCTCCATCCTTGGACTTCTGAATCAGAATCTACATTTTAACGATATTTCTAGGTGATTTGTATGCCCACTTGAGATGAAAACACACCAGTTTAGAGGGCTTTCGTTGTTGGAGTGTTGGAAGTCCATGCAGCTGGAAAAGGTGGACAGAAACTAGATAAGGACACAACAAGACTACAATATTTAGAAGCCTGAAGTTCATCCCATAGCCATGGGTAAACCACCCAAAGTTTTGTGAAGAGCAGAATAATATTACAAAAATCAATGTTTTAGGATGCTAATGCTTTTAGAAAACAGTGAAGAAGAAAACTACCTAGGGTATTTTTGTAACAATTTAGATAAGAGACTATGATAAATCCCTGGCCTGAGACAATGGTAGTAAAAATGGAAAGAATGAGACATATTTCAGAGACATGCCACAAAAAGGATTGCCAAGATTTTATCATAGCTGTAAGAGGCCAAAATTAGACAGGGAAGACTGAGAAAAGGAGTCACTCTAGGAAGTGACTAGTTTCAAGATGAACTATAATATATTGTTGAAGGCAAAAGTAAGTGAAAGCTGTAAGAGCTATAAAGGGAAAGAAACTTCAAAACTAGGATGCCAGATGGGTCAACGGTAATAACACCAGTCATTTATTCAGTCATTCATTTATTCAAAAATGTTTGTTAATTGTCTGGTAATTGCCAGTTTCTTATCAGCACTGAGGAAACTCTGAGTCTCTGTCCACAAGATCTCATGTTCTAGAAGAGACGGAAAACAAATAGGTAGATGAATGAATATGCAATTTTTTTTAGGTGGAGATTAGAGTTAGTGTTATTTTTTAAAAGTATGGTAAGCTCAATAGTCAGAAGCTATTTTAATTTTTTTTTTTTTTTTGAGACAGGCTCTTGTACTGTCACGAGGCTCAAGTGCAGTGGCATGATCATGGCTCACTGAAGCCTCAACCTCCTGGGCTCAAGCCATCCTCCCACCTCAGCCTCCCAAGTAGCTGAAACTACAGACTCATGCCACCACACCTGACTAGTTTTTTAAAAAAAAAATTTTTAGAGATGGGGTCTCATTATGTTGCTCAGGTTGATCTTGAACTTCTGGCCTCAAGTGATCCTTCTGCTTCAGCCTCCCAAAGTGCTTGGATTACAGGGGTAAGCCACTGAACCTGGCCTCAGAGGCCATTTTAAGTACAGAGCTCAGGAAAGGGCTCTGTGAGCATGGCCGTTCATGGCAAAGGAAAAAGGTGATGTATGTAGAACCAACTTGGGAAATTCAACTACTTTAAGAAGACATTTATTTTGTTTCACTGTTTTGCAGGAAAAAAAAATGGAGTCAAAATTATTTTAATAACCAAGATGATAACTTACATTTCCATGATTTTCATAGTTTTATACTTTTACATATGTTATCACATCTGACTCATATAATCCTTTTGAAAGGGAGAGAGGACAGGTTTTACAGATAAAAAGTCCAAATTTAAAATAGGTGGGGTAATTTGGTCAAGATTCCATAATTAAAAATTATGAGATCTTTTGACTTATAGATGAGTTAACTATTAAATGATTAATTATACATTAAAGTTTGTTAAGCATAGAAAAGAGAGAGACTCAGGCTACAGATCTAAAAATATAAACTTCTTTATGTTAGATTAAAGATGGCTGCAATTTTTTTTTTTTTTTTTTGAGACAGTCTTGCTCTGTCACCCAGGCTAGAGTGCAGTGGTGCAATCTCATCTCACTGCAACCTCTGCCTCACGGGTTCAAGCAATTCTCCTGCCTCAGCTTCCCAAGTAGCTGGGATTACAGGCACGCACCACCATGCCCAGATAATTTTTGTATTTTTAGTAGAGACGCGGTTTCACCATGCTGGCCAGGCTGATCTTGAACTCCTGACCTTGTGATCTGCCCGCCTTGGCCTCCCAAAGTGCTGGGATTACAGGCGTGAGCCATGGCACCAGGCCTTCTATCCAGGAGTGAAGTCTAATTCCCATCCTTTTGTATCTGGGTAGGTGTAGTTACTAAATTACAAATGAAAGATTGAGATGGTGATAAGATATACTTTATGATTAGGCTTCTTCATAGGCTAGACCCACAGAAGCCTAGCAGCAGGATTCTGTCTCTCTAGGTAACATCACTCACTCTGGGGAAAAGCTAGCCACTATGTAAAAAAAAAAAAAAAAAAAAAAAAAAAAAAAAAAAAAAGGGAAAAGAAAAGTCTGAGCATTTTGAAATCCCCATGCCATGAAGAAGATCAATGAGCCATGTGGGGAAGCTGCATGATGACAAATATCCAACTTTTTCCAGCTATTCCAGCCATGCCAAGCCCCAACCCAATACATATGAGTGAAGACACCTTCAGATTACTCTAGATTCAGCCACCTCTAGCTGCTATTTCATGGCAACCACATAAGAAATCCCTAGTGAAAACCACCCTGCTGGATCCGGTCAAGCCACAGAACTGAGATAGTAATAAATTATTGTTTGATGCCATCAAGTTTGGGGGAAGGCATGCAATAGCATTAAAAACGTAAATAAATGGATACTAACTGAACAAAGGACTTTGAAATTATTTTTTTTCTTTCATAGGTATCACATTCTACAACAACCACATAAACATCCACATAATTCAAAGGATATTAAAAAAAGTAATGACTTATTTTGGATTTATAAGGTGTTTTAGATGTAGTGCTCTGAGGAAACAATACAGCATCAAAGAATGTTAAATCTGTAAGATGCCTTTCTTAGAAAACCATTAGTCTGATTCTCTCAATTTGCATATGAGGAATGAGAGACAGAGAGAGGGAGAGAGAGAGAGAGAGCATGAAAAATTCCATTATTTACGGAAATTCATGCAAACCTTGTGAAAAACCCAAGGCCTTTGGACTCATACTTTCCTCTCTCAGAAGACATTTTAAAAATCAGTATTCAATAGATGAATGAAATTGGCATAGTATTATTTGCTTAGTAATGAAATTTTATATTGTTAGATGAATCCAAGCATTATAAAATTAGACCTAAATCTTCAACTCCAAAAGCAATACCATTTGTTTTTCTGATGTTCTGTACAATATTGCATGGCAATTTAAAAACAAATGTGTTTAGAAAAAAACTCCTCAATAGGAAAAAAAATCAGAAAATTGGTTGCCTGTATGGTGGAATGGAAATTGACTAGATGGGCACAAAAGTACTTTCTAAGGTGATGAAAATGATACATGTATTTTAATTGAAGTATAGATTACATGGGTGTATATATTTACAAAACTCATGGAACTGTTTTCTTAAGATCTGAGTATTTCACTGTATATAAATTACTTCTTGGAGGAGCCAAGATGGCCGAATAGGAACAGCTCCGGTCTACAGCTCCCAGCGTGAGTGACGCAGAAGACGGGTGATTTCTGCATTTCTATCTGAGGTACCGGGTTCATCTCACTAGGGAGTGCCAGACAGTGGGCGCAGGCCAGTGGGTGCGCGCACCGTGCGCGAGCCGAAGCAGGGCGAGGCATTGCCTCACCTGGGAAGCGCAAGGGGTCGGGGAGTTTCCTTTCTGAGTCAAAGAAAGGGGTGACGGACGCACCTGGAAAATCGGGTCACTCCCACCCGAATATTGCGCTTTTCAGACCGGCTTAAAAAACGGCGCACCACGAGACTATATCCCACACCTGGCTCGGAGGGTCCTATGCCCACGGAATCTCGCTGATTGCTAGCACAGTAGTCTGAGATCAAACTGCAAGGCGGCAGCGAGGCTGGGGGAGGGGCGCCCGCCATTGCCCAGGCTTGCTTAGGCAAACAAAGCAGCCGGGAAGCTCCAACTGGGTGGAGCCCACCACAGCTCAAGGAGGCCTGCCTGCCTCTGTAGGCTCCACCTCTGGGGGCAGGGCACAGACAAACAAAAAGACAGCAGTAACCTCTGCAGACTTAAATGTCCCTGTCTGACAGCCTTGAAGAGAGCAGTGGTTCTCCCAGCACGCAGCTGGAGATCTGAGAACGGGCAGACTGCCTCCTCAAGTGGGTCCCTGACCCCTGACCCCCGACCCCCGAGCAGCCTAACGGGGAGGCATCCCCCAGCAGGGGCACACTGACACCTCACACAGCAAGGTATTCCAACAGACCTGCAGCTGAGGGTCCTGTCTGTTAGAAGGAAAACTAACAAACAGAAAGGACATCCACACCGAAAACCCATCTGTACATCACCATCATCAAAGACCAAAAGTAGATAAAACCACAAAGATGGGGAAAAAACAGAACAGAAAAACTGGAAACTCTAAAACGCAGAGCGCCTCTCCTCCTCCAAAGGAACGCAGTTCCTCACCAGCAACAGAACAAAGCTGGATGGAGAATGATTTTGACGAGCTGAGAGAAGAAGGCTTCAGACGATCAAATTACTCTGAGCTACGGGAGGACATTCAAACCAAAGGCAAAGAAGTTGAAAACTTTGAAAAAAATTTAGAAGAATGTATAACTAGAATAACCAATACAGAGAAGTGCTTAAAGGAGCTGATGGAGCTGAAAACCAAGGCTCGAGAACTACGTGAAGAACGCAGAAGCCTCAGGAGCCGATGCGATCAACTGGAAGAAAGGATATCAGCAATGGAAGATGAAATGAATGAAATGAAGCGAGAAGGGAAGTTTAGAGAAAAAAGAATAAAAAGAAATGTGCAAAGCCTCCAAGAAATATGGGACTATTAGACCAAATCTATGCCTGATTGGTGTACCCGAAAGTGATGCGGAGAATGGAACCAAGTTGGAAAACACTCTGCAGGATATTATCCAGGAGAACTTCCCCAATCTAGCAAGTCAGGCCAACGTTCAGATTCAGGAAATACAGAGAACACCACAAAGATACTCCTCGAGAAGAGCAACTCCAAGACACGTAATTGTCAGATTCACCAAAGTTGAAATGAAGGAAAAAATGTTAAGGGCAGCCAGAGAGAAAGGTCGGGTTACCCTCAAAGGGAAGCCCATTAGACTAACAGCGGATCTCTCAGCAGAAACCCTACAAGCCAGAAGAGAGTGGGGGCCAAAATTCAACATTCTTAGAGAAAAGAATTTTCAACCCAGAATTTCATATCCAGCCAAACTAAGCTTCATAAGTGAAGGAGAAATAGAATACTTTACAGACAAGCAAATGCTGACCGATTTTGTCACCACCAGGCCTGCCCTAAAAGAGCTCCTGAAGGAAGCGCTAAACATGGTAAGGAACAACCAGTACCAGCCGCTGCAAAATCATGCCAAAATGTAAAGACCATCGAGACTAGGAAGAAACTGCATCAACTAACGAGCAAAATAACCAGCTAACATCATAATGACAGGATCAAATTCACACATAACAATATTAACTTTAAATGGAAATGGACTAAATTCTCCAATTAAAAGACACAGACTGGCAAGCTGGATAAAGAGTCAAGACCCATCAGTGTGCTCTATTCAGGAAACCCATCTCACGTGCAGAGTCACACATAGGCTCAAAATAAAAGGATGGAGGAAGATCTACCAAGCAAATGGAAAACAAAAAAAGGCAGGGGTTGCAATCCTAGTCTCTGATAAAACAGACTTTAAACCAACAAAGATCAAAAGAGACAAAGAAGGCCATTACATAATGGTAAAGGGATCAATTCAACAAGAGGAGATAACTATCCTAAATATATATGCACCCAATACAGGAGCACCCAGATTCATAAAGCAAGTCCTGAGTGACATACAAAGAGACTTAGACTCCCACACATTAATAATGGGAGACTTTAACACCCCACTGTCAACATTAGACAGATCAACGAGACAGAAAGTCAACAAGGATACCCAGGAATTGAACTCAGCTCTGCACCAAGCGGACCTAATAGACATCTACAGAACTCTCCACCCCAAATCAACAGAATATACATTTTTTTCAGCACCACACCACACCTATTCCAAAATTGACCACAAAGTTGGAAGTAAAGCTCTCCTCAGCAAATGTAAAAGAACAGAAATTATAACAAACTATCTCTCAGACCACAGTGCAATCAAACTAGAACTCAGGATTAAGAATCTCACTCAAAGCCGCTCAACTACATGGAAACTGAACAACCTGCTCCTGAATGACTACTGGCTACATAACGAAATGGAGGCAGAAATAAAGATGTTCTTTGAAACCAACGAGAACAAAGACACAACATACCAGAATCTCTGGGACGCATTCAAAGCAGTGTGTAGAGGGAAATTTATAGCACTAAATGCCCACAAGAGAAAGCAGGAAAGATCCAAAATTGACACCCTAACATCACAATTAAAAGAACTAGAAAAGCAAGAGCAAACACATTCAAAAGCTAGCAGAAGGCAAGAAATAACTAAAATCAGAGCAGAACTGAAGGAAATAGAGACACAAAAAACCCTTCAAAAAATCAATGAATCCAGGAGCTGGTTTTTTGAAAGGATCAACAAAATTGATAGACCACTAGCAAGACTAATAAAGAAAAAAAGAGAGAAGAATCAAATAGACACAATAAAAAATGATAAAGGGGATATCACCACCGATCCCACAGAAATACAAACTACCATCAGAGAATACTACAAACACCTCTACGCAAATAAACTAGAAAATCTAGAAGAAATGGATACATTCCTCGACACATAGACTCTCCCAAGACTAAACCAGGAAGAAGTTGAATCTCTGAATGGACCAATAACAGGAGCTGAAATTGTGGCAATAATCAATAGTTTACCAACCAAAAAGAGTCCAGGACCAGATGGATTCACAGCCGAATTCTACCAGAGGTACAAGGAGGAACTGGTACCATTCCTTCTGAAACTATTCCAATCAATAGAAAAAGAGGGAATCCTCCCTAACTCATTTTATGAGGCCAGCATCATCCTGATACCAAAGCCAGGCAGAGACACAACCAAAAAAGAGAATTTTAGACCAATATCCTTGATGAACATTGATGCAAAAATCCTCAATAAAATACTGGCAAACTGAATCCAGCAGCACATCAAAAAGCTTATCCACCATGATCAAGTGGGCTTCATCCCTGGGATGCAAGGCTGGTTCAATATACGCAAATCAATAAATGTAATCCAGCATATAAACAGAGCCAAAGACAAAAACCACATGATTATCTCAATAGGTGCAGAAAAAGCCTTTGACAAAGTTCAACAACCCTTCATGCTAAAAACTCTCAATAAATTAGGTATTGATGGGACGTATTTCAAAATAATAAGAGCTATCTATGACAAACCCACAGCCAATATCATACTGAATGGGCAAAAACTGGAAGCATTCCCTTTGAAAACTGGCACAAGACAGGGATGCCCTCTCTCACCACTCCTATTCAACATAGTGTTGGAAGTTCTGGCCAGGGCAATCAGGCAGGAGAAGGAAATAAAGGGTATTCAATTAGGAAAAGAGGAAGTCAAATTGTCCCTGTTTGCAGACGACATGATTGTTTATCTAGAAAACCCCATCGTCTCAGCCCAAAATCTCCTTAAGCTGATAAGCAACTTCAGCAAAGTCTCAGGATACAAAATCAATGTACAAAAATCACAAGCATTCCTATACACCAACAACAGACAAACAGAGAGCCAAATCATGAGTGAACTCCCATTCACAATTGCTTCAAAGAGAATAAAATACCTAGGAATCCAACTTACAAGGGATGTGAAGGACCTCTTCAAGGAGAACTACAAACCACTGCTCAAGGAAATAAAAGAGGATACAAACAAATGGAAGAACATTCCATGCTCATGGGTAGGAAGAATCAATATCGTGAAAATGGCCATACTGCCCAAGGTAATTTACAGATTCAATGCCATCCCCATCAAGCTACCAATGACTTTCTTCACAGAATTGGAAAAAACTACTTTAAAGTTCATATGGAACCAAAAAAGAGCCCGCATCGCCAAGTCAATCCTAAGCCAAAAGAGCAAAGCTGGAGGCATCACACTACCTGACTTCAAACTATACTACAAGGCTACAGTAACCAAAACAGCATGGTACGGGTACCAAAACAGAGATATAGATCAATGGAACAGAACAGAGCCTTCAGAAATAATGCCGCTTACCTACAACTATCTGATCTTTGACAAACCTGAGAAAAACAAGCAATGGGGAAAGGATTCCCTATTTAATAAATGGTGCTGGGAAAACTGGCTAGCCATATGTAGAAAGCTGAAACTGGATCCCTTCCTTACACCTTATACAAAAATCAATTCAAGATGGATTAAAGATTTAAACGTTAGACCTAAAACCATAAAAACCCTAGAAGAAAACCTAGGCATTACCATTCAGGACATAGGCGTGGGCAAGGACTTCATGTCCAAAACACCAAAAGCAATGGCAACAAAAGCCAAAATTGACAAATGGGATCTAATTAAACTAAAGAGCTTCTGCACAGCAAAAGAAACTACCATCAGAGTGAACAAGCAACCTACAACAGGGGAGAAAATTTTCACAACCTACTCATCTGACAAAGGGCTGAATATCCAGAATCTCCAATGAACTCAAACAAATTTACAAGAAAAAAACAAACAACCCCATCAAAAAGTGGGCGAAGGACATGAACAGACACTTCTCAAAAGAAGACATTTATGCAGCCAAAAAACACATGAAAAAATGCTCATCATCACTGGCCATCAGAGAAATGCAAATCAAAACCACTATGAGATATCATCTCACACCAGTTAGAATGACAATCATTAAAAAGTCAGGAAACAACAGGTGCTGGAGAGGATGTGGAGAAATAGGAACACTTTTACACTGTTGGTGGGACTGTAAACTAGTTCAACCATTGTGGAAGTCAGTGTGGCGATTCCTCAGGGATCTAGAACTAGAAATACCATTTGACCCAGCCATCCCATTACTGGGTATATACCCAAATGACTATAAATCATGCTGCTATAAAGACACATGCACACGTATGTTTATTGCGGCATTATTCACAATAGCAAAGACTTGGAACCAACCCAAATGTCCAACAATGATAGACTGGATTAAGAAAATGTGGCACATATACACCATGGAATACTATGCAGCCACAAAAAATAATGAGTTCATGTCCTTTGTAGGGACATGGATGAAATTGGAAACCATCATTCTCAGTAAACTATCACAAGAACAAAAAACCAAACACCGCATATTCTCACTCATAGGTGGGAATTGAACAATGAGATCACATGGACACAGGAAGGGGAATATCACACTCTGGGGACTGTGGTGGGGAGGGGGGAAGGGGGAGGGATAGCATTGGGAGATATACCTAATGCTAGATGACGAGTTAGTGGGTGCAGCGCACCAGCATGGCACATGTATACATATGTAACTAACCTGCACAATGTGCACATGTACCCTAAAACTTAAAGTATAATTAAAAAAAATAAAAAATAAAGAATAAAAATAAATAAATAAATAAATTACTTCTTAATTTAAAAAAAATATAAGAATAAAAAAGAGATTTTTCTCCTTCACAAGAGAAAATGACTTATCAATAGTTGGTTTGCCAATAGTGGAGCTGGTTTCGGTCTATTTAACTTACCTCTTTCTCTGTTTTCCAATTATGAAATGGATGGGCAAAGTCAATGGTATGTACATCTGTGGTCATAAAACAAAGTAAAGCTAACAAAGCCACTCAGAAGCTAAACTTATGTGACCACAAAACATATGAATTAAAAAGGGTCTGATAAATTATCTAATCCAAATTTTTTTATTTTGTAGATAACATTGGCCTTGCTAACAAATTTAATAAACAGTGGTGCTTTTAAAAAACTTGATGGTAACTGAAGATGTTGAGCCATTATTTGTAGAGTAGAAGCTCACTTATCCAACAGAATTAGATCAGTACATAAGAATGAGTTAAAGCTGGTATTCAAAAAGGAAGAGAGGAAAATGGCAGATAGGAGACAGGACTAATGTGCAGCTCCCACTTGGACAAATAGAACAGCATGTGGAGACTCACATCATGAACCTTTGCTCCAAGAACTACAGCAGGAACATAACAGGAAAACTGAAAGAATTCACAGACCCTTTGAAAGAAGAGGCTTGCTGCTGCAAACTTCAAGACAGCTGAAAAACTGTGAGTTCTCAAAGTGTGAAGAGAGGGAAAAGTCTGTATCTGAACACACATCCCCACAGGGGAACCTAAAAATCCAGATCATGAGAGAAAGATGTAACCTTACCTAGAGCTGAAACAGATTCAGGGAGCCAAGCAAAATATGAAAGTAGAAGAAGCAGCGGGAAGAGCCCTGTAGGCACTCCTGGTCCTGAGCTTGAGCCCAGGGAAGCCATCCCTGGCTTTATCTCAGAGCAGCCCTTGGGGAGGAAGCCAGCAGAACAGGGGAGGGGCCACAGGGTGAAGGAAACTTCTAGCTGAGCTTTAATAATTTTTGACTGAGCACAAATTTTTCTAAGCAGAATCCAGGGGAGTGAATGGGAAGTGCAGATAGGAGTGCAGAAGCCACAGCTGACAGTGTGGGAAGTTAGGGAGGGGAGAGGCCTGAGAGCCCTACTTGCTTTCTCAGTGGGGAAGCTTGTAGCCTGGGGCAAGATTTCAGCCCTGCACAGCTTCCTGGTAGGGCACAGCAGGAGAAAGACTGGCCTTGCTGGCTGTGTGGGAGCAGGGTGAGGCCTGTCACTGCTGGCTTTCCCACACATCCCTGGTGACTTGTATGATGCAGCAGAGGCAGCTATAACCCCCTTGGAACATAACTTCATTGGCCTGAGAAGCACCTCCCATCCCCCACAGTGGCCACAGCAAGCACTGCCTAAGGTGAGTTTTTGTTCAGACCCACCTAACCCTGCCCCAACCTGATGGTTTACTGCCCTAGTAGACAAAGACAAAAGACATAAACTCTTGGGAGCTCTATGGCCCTGCCCATCACCTGAGAAACCCAAATACTTATTCTAGCCAACATAGGGTAAGCTTGTATCTCCTTTCTACTATCACAGCTGGTGCTCTCTTGAAAGCACCACCTCCTGGCTGGAGGCTAACCAACTCAAGCCATTACAGCAACTCATACAAGAACAACCCTGCCCCAAGGAAGAAGAAAACAACAGCTAATTTCACTGCCTGCAACATCCTGGCTTATCAGAGGTCCTGAGTCTGTCCATGTGACAATTTGACTGCTAGCATAACCAGCATTTGAGAAAAACCAGCACACTGAACAAAACTACAATCAAGGAATTCCAAAAAGTCAACTTCACTCCCCTGCCACCTCCACTGGAGTAGGTGCTGGTATCCATGGCTGGGAGATCCGAATATGAATCATATAACAGGATTCTTTGCAGACATTCTGCAACAACAATCCAGAGCCCAGTAGCCCCACTGGGTGGGTAGACTCAGAAGCACAGTAACAACCACTGCAGTCCAGCTCTCAGGAAGCACCATCCCTAGGGGAAGGGAGAGAGCACCACATTAAGGGATCACCACTTGGGACATAAAAATCTGAACAGCAGCCCTTGAGTTCCAAATCTTTCCATTGAAAGAGTCGACCCAAATGAGAAGGAACCAGAAAAGTAATTCTGATAACATGAAAAAAAAAAAAAGGTTCTATAACACCCCAAAAGATCACACTAGCTAAACCAAGAAGAACTCTCTGAATTGCCAGATGAAGAATTCAGCAGGTTTATTAAGCTACTCAAGGAGTTACTAGAGAAAGGTGAAAATCAACTTAACTTCAAAAAACAATATAGGATATGATTGAAAAAGTCTTTAGAGAAATAGACATAAAGAAAAGACAATCACAACTTCTAGAAATGAAAGACACACTTAGAGAAATACAAAATACACTGGAAAATTTCAACAATAGAATCAAACAAGTGGAAGAAAGAACTTCAGAGCTCGAAGACAAGCCTTTTGAATTAACCCAATCCAACACAGACAAAGAAAACTAAATTTTTAGAAAATGAACAAAGCCTCCATAAATTTGAGATTATGTCAAATGACCAAACATAAGAATAATTGGTGTTCATGAGGAAGAAAAAGAAATATCTACAAGTTCAGAAAACTTATTTGAGGAAATAATCAAGGAAAACTTCGCTGGGCTTGCTAGAGATCTAGACATCCAAATACCAGAAGCTCAAAGAATACCCGGGAAATTCACCACAAAAAGATCATTGCCTGGGCACACAGTCATCAGGTTATCTAAAGTCAAGACAAAGGAAAGAATCGTAAGATCTGTGAGGCAAAAGGTAACTTCTAAAGGAAAACTTATCTGATTAACAGCATATTTCTCAGTAGAAACCCTCAAGCCAGAAGGGATTGGAGTCCAATCTTTAGCCTCCTCAAACAAAATAATTGCCAGCCAAGAATTTTGTATCCAGAAAAATTACACTTCACAAATGAAGGAGAGATAAAGTCTTTTTCAGACAAACAAATGCTGAGAGACTTTGCCACTACCAGGCCAGCACTACAAGCAATGCTAAAACGGGTCCTAAATCTTGAAACAAAACCTGGAAATACACCAAAATAGGACCTCCTGAAAGCATAAATTTCACAGGGCCTATGAAACAGTAACACAATGGGGAAAAAAAAAGATGTTCAGGCAATAACTAGCATGAATAGAACAGTACCTCCTATCTCAGTAGTAACATTGAATGTAAATGACCTAAATGCCCCACTTAAAAGATACAGAATGGCAGAGTGGATAAATTCTACCAACCAAGTATCTGCTATCTTGAAGGGACTCACCTAACGCATAAGGACTCACATAGACTTAAGGTAAAGGGATGGAGAAAGATATTTCACGCAAATGGAAACCAAAAGTGAGGAGGAGTAGCTATTCTTATGTGAGACAAAATGGACTTTAATGCAATAACAGTGAAAAAGGACAAAGAAGAACATTATACAATTATAAAAGGATTAGTCCAACATGAAAATATCCCAAATATTTACACACCTAAGAGTGAAGCTCCCAAATTTATAAAACAATTACTACTAAACCTAAGGAATGAGGTAGACGGCAACACAATAATAGTGGGGGATTTCAATACTGCATTGACAACACTAGACAGGTCATCAAGACAGAAAGTCAACAAAGAAACAATGGATTTAAACTATAACATAGAACAATTGGACTTAACAGATATTTACAGAACATTCTACCCAACAACTGTAGAATATACATTCTATTCATCATCACCTAGATCATTCTCCAAGATAGATCATATGATAGGCCACAAAAAAGTCTCAATAAATTTAAGAAAACTGAAGTTATATCAAGCACTCTGTCAGACCACAGTGGAATAAAACTGAAAATTAACTACAAAAGGAATCCTCAAAACTATACAAATACATGGAAATTAAATAATTGACTCCTGAATGAATTTTGGGACAACAATGAAATCAAGATGAAAATTTAAAAATTCTTTGAACTGAATGATAATAGTGACACAACCTATCAAAACCTCTGGGATACAGCAAAAGCTGTGCTAAGAAAGTTCATAGCATTAAATGCCTACATCAAAAGCCTGAAAGAGCACAAATAGATAATCTAAGCTCACATCTCAATGAAGTAAACAAACAAGAACAAATCAAACACAAACCCAGCAAAAGAAAAGACATAACAAAGATCAGAGCAGAACTAAATGAAACTGAAGCAAAAAAAAAAAAAATACAAAAGATAAATGAAACAGAAAACTGTTTCTTTGAAAAGATTTTAAAACATCAATAATTAAACAAGAGAGAGGATCCAAATAAGTTCAATTAGAAATGAAATGAGGTATTACAACTGATACCACAGAAACAAAAGATCATTCAGGACTACTGTGAACACCTTTTTGCACACAAACTAGAAAACCTAGAGGAGATGGATAAACTACTGGAAATATACAACCCTCCTAGATGAAACCAGGAAGAAACAGAAACTCTGAACAGACCAATAACAAATAGTGAGATTGGAACAGTAATAAAAACGTTGCCAACAAATAGGTCCAGGACTAGATGGATTCACAACTGAATTCTATTGGACATTCAAAGAGGAATTGGTACCAATTTCTACTGAAACTATTTCAAAAGATAGAGGAAGAGAAAATCCTCCATAAATCATTCTATGAAGCCAGTATCACCTTAATACCAAAGCCAGGAAAGGACATAACAAAAAAGAAAACTACAGACCAATATCCCTCACAAATACAGATGCAAAAATCCTCAACAAAATACTAGGTAACAGAATCTAATAGCATGTCAAAAAAAAAAAAATAATACACCATGATCAAGTGGGTTTTATACCAGGGATGCAGGGATGGTTTAACATATGCAAGTCAATAAATGTGATACACTATATAAAGAGAAGTAAAAAGAAAAATCATATGATCATCTCAACAGGTGCAGAAAAAGCATTTGACAAAATCCAGCATTGCTTTATGATTAAAACCCTCAGCAAGATGAGCATAAAAGGGACATATCTTAAAGTAATAAAAGCCATCTATGACAAACCCACAGCCAGCAGTATACTGAATGGGGAAAATTTGAAAGCATTTCTGCTGAGAACTGGAACAAGACAAGGATGCCCACTTTACAAAATCAATGTATACAAATCAGTAGCACTGCTATACACCACCAACGACCAAGGTGAGAATCAAATCAATAACTCAACCCCTTATACCACAGCTCCAAGAAAAATAAAATACATAGGAATATACCTTACCAAGGAGGTGAAAGATCTCTACAAGGAAAACTACAAAACACTGCTGAAAGAAGTCATAGATGACACAAATGGAAACACATCCCATGCTCATGGATGGGTAGAATCAATATTGTGAAAATGACCATACTGCCAAAAGCAATGTATAAATTTAATGCAATTCCCATCAAAATACCATCATCATTCTTCACAGAACTAGAAAAAACAATCCTGAAATCCATATGAAACCAAAAAAAGAGCCCACATAGCCAAAGCAAGACTAAGCAAAAAAAACAATCTGGAGGCATCACATTAACCGACATGAAACTATACCACAAGGCTATAGTTACCAAACAGCATGGTACTGGTATAAAAGTAGGCATCTAGACCAATGAAACAAAATAGAGAAACCAGAAATAAAGCCAAATACTTATAGCGAATGGATCTTTGACAAAGCAAACAAAAACATAAAGTGGAGAAAGGACACCCTATTCAACAAATGGTGCTGGCATTATTGGCAAGCCACGTGTAGAAGGATGAGACTGAATCCTCATCTGTCACCTGATGCAAAAATCAACACAAGGTGGATCAAAGACTGAAATATAAGACCTGAAACCAAAAAAATTCTAGAAGATAACGTTGGAAAAACTCTTCTAGACATTGACTCAGGCAGAGTTAACGAACAAGAACCCAAAAGCAAATACAGCATAAACAAAGATAAATTGGTGGGACTTAATCAACCTCAAAAGCTTCTGCACAGCAAAAGAAAATCAGCAGAGTAAACAGACAACCCACAGCATGGAAGAAAATCTTCGCTAACTATGCATCCACAAAGGACTAGTATCCAGAATCTACAAGGAACTCTGACAAACCAGCAAGAAAAGAAAAAAAAAATCCCATGAAAAAGTAGTACTGCTCAGCCACAAGAAGGAATGAAATAACGGCATTTGTAGCAACCTGGATGGAGTTGGAGACCATTCATTATTCTAAGTGAAGTAATTCAGAAATGAAAAACCAAACATCATAGGTTCTCACTTAAAAGTGTGAGCTAAGCTATGAGTACACAAAGGTGTAATAATCTAATGGACTTTGGGGACTTGGGGGGAGGGTGGGGAGGGGGCGAGATATGAAGGACTACACATTGGGTATAGAGTACACTGCTCGGGTGATGGGTGCACCAAAATCTCAGAAATCACCACTAAAGAACTTATTCATGTAACCAGACACCACCTGTTCCCCAAAAACTGTTGAAATTATTTTTAAAAAGGAAGAAAGGTAAACATTTTAGCTTAACTAAAATGTAAATTTGGTTTAGACATTCATTTATTTTTAGTCTTTTGATGAAGGACCACAGCCTTCCCCACCTCGCAAGTAGATGTGCTAGTTGGACAGTTCCATAAACTGTGGTGGATAAAAAGAGGCAGGATAAGACAGTGGGAAGCAAAGAGGCTTTGGACAAAGCTCCTGTGTTCTGAATCTCAGCTCTGCCACTTGCTACCTGTGTGACTTTCAGGAAGTTGCATAGCTGCTCTGTGCCTCAGTTTCCTTATATGTCAAAAGGGATATTACCTACCATACACAGTAGTTAGGAGGATGAAAAATCCTTAGAACAGCACTGGCTCATTGAAAGTGCCAGATAGTTGTTTATTAAATAGAAATAAACAGGCCAGGCACAGTGACTCATGCCTGTAGTCCCAGCCAGCACATTGGGAGGCCAAGGTGGGCTGATTGCTTGAGGCCAGGAGTTCAAGACCAGCCTGGGCAACATGGCGAAACCCCATCTCTACCAAGAACACAAAAATTAGCCAGGTGTGGTGCTGCATGCCTGTAGTCCCAGCAACTTGGGAGGCTGAGGTGGAAGAATCATCTGAGCCTGGGAGGCAAAGGTTGCAGTAACCCATGATTACGACACTGCAGCACTCCAGCCTGGGCGACAAAGGGAGAACCGAAAAAAAAAGAAAGAAAGGAAGGAAAGGAAGAGAGAGAGAGAGAGAAAAGAAAGAAAGAAAGAAACAAAGAAAGAAATAAAGAAAGAAAAAAGAAAGAAAGAAAGAAAGAGAAAGAAAGAAAGAAAGAAAGAAGGAAAGGAAGAAAGAAAAAGAAAGAAAGAAAGAAAGAAAGAAAGAAAGAAAGAAAGAAAGAAAAGAAAGACTTCCATGATGCATCAGCTTTGAATTCCGATTGTTTCTTTAGATGTCTTAGAATTTAAAGAGCCATTCTTTCCTCTTTTTTTTTTTTAATAGTTGTCTTATCCACTTAATTTGATAGCAAGTTTTGGGGTTTCTTTAAAAAACAAACAAACAAAAAAAAAAACAAAAAAAAACTTTGTCTTTCCTTGGCATTAAATTTCTCTCCAGAGAAACCCAAAACTGTTTTCCTGACATTCGTATTTTGCCACTTGGTGTAATATTTATTAAATTAAATAATAACAACAGGAAGTAAAACTTGTGTAGTATAAACATAATAAATGCTTGGTAGGCACCAATTCAACAGGTGAGGCAAATGCACAACCCCCCTGAGAACAGCCCGCTAGCTAGATGATTGCAGAGAGAGAATGATGGACATTAGTCACTGTGTTCTACAGAGAGAAGGAGAGTTTTAGCGAATCCAAAGAAGTGTTTTAAGAGTTAATGGATGTGAGGGTGATCTGGCTGCGACACATGTCACCCCATTGATCGCCAAGGTTGATTTGGCTGATCCGGTTGGCTGGGCAGGTGTCCCCTCCCTTCCTTACCGCTCCTCGTGCGTCCCTCCCGAAGCTGCATGCTCAAAGAGGATAACCATCCCTCATAGAGGAGGGCCGGCCTTCCATCAAGGGTATACGGGTAGCTACCCTCCCCTGCTAGAAACTTCAAACGAGCTCTCAAAGAGGTGGAATTTTTTTTTTTATTTTGCTCTTGTTGTTTTGTTATTGTTTTTTCTTTTCCTTTTGAGATGGAGTCTCACTCTGTTGCCCAGGCTGGAGTGCAGTGGCGTGATCTCGGCTCACTGCATCCTTGCATCCTCCGTCTCCCAGCTTCAAACAATTCTTCTGCCTCAGCCTCCTGAGTAGCTGGGATTACGGGCATACACCACCACACCCAGCTAATTTTTCTGTATGTATAGTAGAGACAGGGTTTCACCACGTTGGCCAGGCCGGTCTCGAACTCCTGACCTCAAATGATCTGCCCGTCTCGGCCTCCCAAATTGCTGGGATTACAGGCGTAAACGCACTCAGCCTCAAAGAGGTTTTTAAAAGAGTTGCAAATGTGCCATGACACTTTCATTCTAAGGACTCTTGGAGCCTTTGTGCCCATTTCAAACTTTAACTTGAAAGACCTTTGCTTAGTAGTTTATAAACCAGATACCTATAACATCCACTGAGTCTCTTTATTTTTCAGGAATTGTCATTAGTACTAAATAGTTTAGGGGGGAAAATTAAAGAACAGTTTGCAACAAATCTTTAACACACAGAGATTGCGTTTGATATTGTCAGATGAATTCAAGTGTTAATAGAAATTAAACCTAAGACCTCAAGTCCAAAAGCAGTACTATCCGTTTTTCTGATGTGCCATACACATTATATGACATGGTTTGGCAATTCAAAAGAAAATGTGTTCACAGAAAAATTAATCTACAGGGATACTTGTAGGCTGGGGATGAAACTGACAGTGAGATGGCACAATAAAATTTTTGGGGTGGTAGAAATGTTCTATATCTTCATTAGCACATGGGAGACATAAACAGTGTGACTTAAGTAACCACTTTAACCCTCCTATGCCTTTTCCAGGCCTGAGGACACCTACTGCCTGTTTGGTTCATCCCATTATTGCTATTTATGACCCCAGAACTGTTCACTACCAACGTGTCAGCAGAAGTGGCATAGCTTGTCCACATGCACATCTGGCTAGAACAGGACAGGAACTAAATCCCGGATAAAAACGTGTTTTAGAAATTGACTTTGACGTGAGCAGGGACTCTTTGTGTTTGAGAAGTATCTGTTGGACTACTTCATACCGACTAAGGGTTAATGGGTCACATTCCATTTCTTCCATCCTACCACAGAAAAAGCTGGGACACATAAGGACATGGCAAAAACACATCACATGACTGCATGGACCAGGCATGCATTCCAAAGATAAATACAAACATCTCCAACCAGTGTTGAAAAGCACGCATTTTCATCCTAGTCGGACTGATTGCAGCCTCACCAGCAGGGCTGAATGCTGAGCCCCATTCAGTAACACTTTGAATGCCTTTGTTCCAGCGTTTCCCAGCAGTGCAAACATAATGGAAAAGAGACTGCCAAATGACAGCTCGCTTCTTTTCTCTTTCTTAATATAAGAAAAAAATAACTGCAAAGGTAGACAATAAAGTGAATAAGAATATAAGAAAAAACAGAGACAAATGTGTAAAATAAATTCAGCTAATCTGAAATAAAGGAAACTTTCACGAATGTTTTATGATCTACTTTCCTTTAAAGGAAATGAACAGTAAAGCAAAACTAAACAAGAAAAAAAAATGTTAATGACTGCAACTGCTGTTAAGTAGGAAGTGAACCTTTCAGGCTGAACTTGGCCTTCCAATGGAAATATGAGCAGAGCAGTTCTTAGGGAATATCAGTGAAAATAGGTGTAATTAAGGAGAATGCATCCCAGCAGCCCTCAAGACTGCCTAATAATAAAGCTGTACTCTTAGCATAATAAAGACACATTCTTGTCCATTTCCAAACAACAATTCTGCACGGAGAAAAACAACGTGAGCCCTTATAAATCAATGGGAAAAATGATCAGGTGGGTTCACACATAACTAGTAAGACCATCATATGCTCTACCATTTTTGTACCATTTTTAATATTAGGAACTGGGTGACTTTTTAGGTCGTCATTCTCTGTTTCCTTCCTCTACACCGAAGCCCTTGTTATCATGCATATGAAACACACAGGAGCACTAAAGGCATTCATTATGGCCACTGCTGAATTCCAAATGAGAATAGTTTAAAAATATATGTTACTGTTCAAGACAAGTCAACACATTTCAAACAAGAGGGCCCTGTTTGAATTTAGAAAGCTGACTAAAACCCACAGCAGAGAGGAGATCTGAGTCCCTGACGCTCTGTGCTGTGAGGATTGGGGGTGGAACCATCACGGCGAGGAGGCGCTCAGTAAAAGAGAGGTGGAATTCAAAGCCAACACCAGTTCCCCTGGGGTCTGTTGTAATCAGGAGACAAATGGTCTGTACTCAGTAGCATGTATTCATTCTGTCGCAAGAGGCTGCCAACGCGAGCTTCCCTACGCTTTTGTGGAAATACAGTACGAGTCTTTTTCTCTTTCAGTTGCTATAGAACAAGAAGAATAAAAAGTCCACTGCTGACAAACACTGCTTTGGGCATTTGACACTGGTCTTTGATCTAGTTACTCAGACAGTTCAAAATGAACAAATTAGGTGTTTACAACAAAAGACATTCCGTTTTAGCCTGTTCAAGTGCCAAGTGGAGTGGACAGCTCGCTCAAACAGAACTGGGAAATTTCTCCCTGCCAGGCCACAAGATGGGCATTGGAAGTTCATTCCCCAAGAGCAATCAATAAATTATGATACTGTTTTTTTAAATTAAAAGAAAAAAAAGAAAGAAAACATGGGGTTTGGGTCAACAAAGTAAATCTACACCATCTGGAATTTGAGTCACGACACAGCAGATCCTTGAGGCTAGAGACCCACAGGGACAGATCTTCATTCTTCATGAGATGGTTTGATTATAGGACAGACCATGAAAAAAACACTCATTTTAAAATTTCTGCCTGAAAATCAAGTCTATATAGCACACAATCTACAGTCTACACATCACATAGAAAAGGGCAACATCTGTATTCTATTATGTAAATTCCCCTTTTAAAAGTATTGTAACATTATTCTTAAAGACAGAAGGAAAATTGGGTGTCTGAGAGTGATCCCCATTCACAAAAGAGAGTGGTTTTGTTCCCTTGACTTAAGTGTCTGCTTTATTTCTGTTGAAAACAGTGCGTCTTAGACAAGAACCCATTGCCTCCATTTCCTTCTTGTGAAAAGAAGTGTTTGTGCTATGAAATGATTTGTTAAAAGCTTTAGCAGTCTATGGCCAAGGAAGGATTGTAAATGGACTATGTGATTTGCACCATTTTCTTCTAATAGGGGACATCTGATTAAAATCTTTTAAATAATTACAGTTTTTAGAAAAGCAGACACCACTTCAGCAACTGCGTCCAGCAGCAGTGGGTTTTGAGGTCGGCTATGTGAGGCGAAGCAGACGCATGAAACATGCTGAACAGTGGCACTTTAAAATCACATTTTATTTTCAGCAAGCAATAGGGAGTGGAAAAGGAAAAGCAAGTGTGGAAAAAGAAAGAAATCTGTTAGCACAGATCCAAATATCCCCTAGAATCGAAATGTCAGCCTTGAAAATACCGAGCAAGCCAGCTTGTCTAATATGTTACCATCCTGCCTTATAATTACCGGAAAGTAGTTATTTATCTGTTGTGTTCACCTACCCTGTCAGTATGCCTGAGTTTAATTATCAGACCTCACTGGAAGTTCAATTTCCTCTGTTCCTTCTTCTTTTTGCTGCAACATAAATCGAAATTGCTTCATAATTTCTGTTAACTGTTTTGGCACACTGTCTCATACATCCAGAGTTCTTGCCCACAGGACAGTCTCTTCTCACAGCCTCTCCAGCTATAAAGAAGGCATCTGTTTGCTGCAGTTTCAACCCTCACATACCCCATGATTCTTTGGTATATCAAAGTTCACAGCCTCTTGTCCATCAGCTTGGTGAAAAAGAGAAGTAAGAGGCCAGGCGCAGTGGCTCACACCTGTAATCCCAGCCCTTTGGGAGGCCGAGGTGGGAGGATCACCTAAGGTCAGGAGTTCGAGACCAGCCTGGCTAACGTGGCAAAATCCCATCTCTACTAAAAATACAAAAATTAGCTGGACATAGTGGCACGCACCTGTAATCCCAGCTATTCGGGAGGCGGAGGCAAGAGAATCCCTTGAACCTGGGAGGCAGAGTTTGCAGTGAGCCAAGATCTTACCACTGCACTCTAGCCTGGGCAACAGAGTGAGACTGTCAGAAAAAAAACACTTAACAAAGAGAAACAAAAGAGGCAGTTGTCTGCTTCTTTCACCTTCATGGAGCACAAGAGCTTCAAACATCTGCCTGTGATGGGGCAGCCGAGCCAAAAAATTCAAAACTGCTCCAAAGAAGGGGCTGAGAGAAGTCAAACAAACAGGCATTACCATGTCTTTCCCCCTTCGCCTCCCCGACAAGCGATCCTTCCAGTGAAAAGGATCTTGTTCTGGTGTGCGATTCTTTCCCATAAGCCCTATGTAGGAACAGAGCCTTGATTGTCAGAGACTTTGAGATCTGCATATATCTAAATTAGAGGAAAGAAAAAACAGAGCTTAGGTGCAATATTCTCCCACTCTCTCATCAATCCTCCACGAGTGAATCCAGCCCTAAGGAGAAAACTGGATACTTAGAACAAGGTATTAATATTATCACAGGTCTGCTAAGAATCTGGACACACTCTGCAGAAATTATCCTACATAGGAAGTACATTATCAGATGGTGGTGACTTTTTTGAAGTTTATTTGCAGCTGGGCATGACAGCAATTGAAAGTTTCTCTATCCTCTGAGGTCTACTTCTCGCCATCACCCAAGGTTAGTGGCAGTCAAATGAGTACAAACTGAATCTCAGCTCTGCGACTTACCATCTCTAGGACCCTGGGCAAGTTGCCTAACCTCTCAGTGACTCGGTGTTCTGTAGAGTGGGATAATAAAAGTTCCAGCCTCACAGGGATGTTGTAAAGGTGAAGTGTATTATATGCAAAGCACTTAGAATAGTGCCAGATATTATTATTATTATTACTATTACTATTTCATCGTATTCACTGTTTCCCCCCTCCCTTATGGTTTCTGGCATATTGATTTGATCTACTCAGAGTAAGCTTTCAATAATATAAATTGATTAGCAATATCCAGTACAACAACGTTACAGGCTTTTAAGGGGAGCGATCACATTGACAAATACTTACACCTAATATTCTAAGTTCAACTTCTGATAGTATTAACACTAATTTGCGTGTAGTAAAGTTCCTCTGTTTACAAACAAGTGTCTAGAACAGATGGAGTTTTGTGTGTTTTACACAATTTTAAAAGCTAACAGTGTGTTGTCTATATTAGTATTCTGCAGCTGCCATAACAAATTACTGTAACCTTGGCTTAAGACAAGAGAAATTTATTTTCTCATCATACTGGAGGCCAGGAGTCTGAAATCAAGGACTCAGGAGGACTACACTCCCTCCAGTCAGAGACACCTGGGGAGAATCATGTACTTCTGTCTTCCAGTGTCTGCTGTCTACAGGCATTTTTTTTTTTTTTTTTTGGCTTGAGGGTGGATCACTTCAATCTCTGCCTCCAAGGCCATGTTGCCTCCTCTTCTGTCTGTCTTCCTCCTGGTGTGTCTGTCAAAATCCCCACTCTGCCTCACTCTTAGAAGAACACTTGTCATTGGATCTGGGGCCCATCAAATAATCCAGGACAAACTCCTCCTCTCAAAATCTTTAACTTAATTTCATCTTTTTGCCTTATAAAGCAATGTTCACTGGTTCTGGTGATTGGCAGGTGGACATATCTTTTTGAGGAACACCCCTCAGTCGACTACAATGCCTATTATCAATATATATTGGGAGACACTGTAAAGGTTGTCTGATTTATTTTAATCAGGTGGCAATGACTCATATTCATAGATGTATAGGGAACATTTCTGCTGATTAGCACTAGTAATTACACACACACACACAAACACACATACACTCATGCCTACTCTCTGGCTTGTATTCATTAGAGTAGTTGAGAGTTTTTGTTTTACAACTGAGAGAAGAGATGTTTCAGTGGGTGAGGAGCCAAGGGAAAGAGGAGGGCAGTATTCCTATATCATGTCTTATAAAGTGGTTTTCATTCTCCTTCTAGAAGGAGATGCTACAAAGTGGAAGGCAATGAAGGAATCTCGTGAGGTTCTTCACAGAAAACAGAAAAGACCTCATGAGGCCCCCAGGCACCAGGAGAGCCGCTTTGGAGCCCAGTGACTATGAGTGGCTCTGAGACAGGAAAGGCTGTTCTCCCTGCCTCTGTGCAGAACCAACCAAGCTCCTGCTCCTTGGAATTCAAAGCTTGGGGAGCATCCTGCAGCATCTCCCTTATCGTGCATGTCAGTCACCTCATGATGTACTGGGACATTGACGAAGCACTGGAAATGGGCAAGAGGGGCCAGAGAAGGAGAGAAAGGGGCAACTGGTGAGAGGACATAAGTAATCCATCCCACTGGAGACCTCCAGAAAGATCTGAAGGACACTTTCCCCAGATGGGTGAAGCCCTGTTAGTGCACGAGTGAAGGTTATATGCAATTTGATATTTTCATAAACATTTCCCTATGTAGGGAAGGAAATGTTGCCACTCTTGTAAGGATACTTGTCAAAGGTTAAGAAAAGATGGGAGAAGCATTTTAACAAATTGGTTACTTCCTTTTTCTATTGCTGCTGTAAAAAAATAAATACCAAAAACTTAGTGGCTTAAAACAACACCCATGGTTTCTTTCATGATTCAGCTGAATTCTGAAATTGAAATCAAGGTATTATTGAGACTACATTCTCTTATGGAGGCTCTGGGAAAGATCCACTTCAAGGCTCATTCAAGTTGTTGGCAGGTTTAGTTCCACATGGCTGCGGGACTAAGGTTTTCATTTCCTTGTTGGCTGTTAGTTGAAGCTTCTCATGGCTGCCCACATTCCTTGGCTCCTGAACTCTCCATTTCTAAGCTATCAGTGGCATGTCTGATCCTTCTTCTACTTCCTATCTTGCTGTTCTCTTGTCTCCTTTTAAGAGTTTATGTGATTACATTGGTTGCAACCAGATAATCCAGGATAATTTCTCTACGCTAATGTCAGCTGATTAGTAACCTTACTTACATCTGGAAAGTCCCATTCAGCATGTGAGAAACCATATTTATAGATATAACATCAAGAGCTGAAGGTCATGGGGGCCAAAATTATGCGTCCCACACTGGTGAAACTTACAATAAAGTATGCTCCCCAACCCCACCAAAATAAAAGATCTCTCGACTAGCAATCAGAAGACCATATTCCAGTTTCAGCTCTACGGCCAGCTCATTTGTTGATGAAAATGGCTTGCCACGTTCCTGCTTGGGGACTAGTTTCTGGTAATTGTAAAGAGCAAGAGTCTGAGCAGATGCCATGTAAAGTCTCTTACTTCTCCAAAATTATGTAACTTTGTTTCTCCAATAGTGAAAGGCTACATACAACCCATTATCAAATCCACAGTGCAAACTGTATCTTGTGGTTTTCAGTGAATTGCCCAGTTATTGTCAGCACCACCACTGGGGTCAGAGCTGTGGGATGCTGTCAACTTATATATGAGCTGTGTTTTAAAATAGATGACATGGGAAGTATTATGATATACTAAGCATATTAAATAGTTTCCTTTAGAAATTCACCGAGTAAGAGTGCAATTGAGTCATTCAAACTAAATGTTTGAGCTATGTGAGTCTAGGCTTTATCAGCTGATGCTACTTTTATACAAATTTTTGCTTATGGAGTTTAAATGCAGCCAAGTATCCAAAGTGAAAGACACAGAGGCTTGTAACTTCCAGTATGCTTCAACTGCAACCCACAAAGAATGCAATGAATTCCTCCTCCTATTTGTAACGTTTATCTCCTTCCATAAATCTTTCCCAGGTACCCAGCCAGGCTCAGATAACATTTTCCAAAAGGATTGCAAATTTGGCAAACCTTGGCAAAGTGTAAAGTCTAAGGCATTACCTCAAATCTACTGGCTACTAACTGAGGCTTAAAAAGATCTAAATATCTATTCCTATCATTTTTATCAGTCATATTAACAAGGTTTCAGTGGATCTTTATATGCAAAGTGGTTCAACACAGTATTCACACTTTAAATTGTTGAAAACAATAAGAACTCCATCTTTCTCTTTTCCAATTACTCTCTCCATTGCTCTGTCTGTAAATCTTTTGTTTTATTCCTATATCAGTAACATTCTTCAAAATCTAAAGAACTAAGTATTTGCAACAATTTTCCTGAAAGGTTACTAGTAGTTGTTGAAATTGAGCAACTCAAATTTTCCAACACTTAAGCAAAGATGCTATTAAGAGCCCATATGTTAGGTCTAGAACTAAATTAAATTTCACTTATTCAACACATATTTATTGACTATCTACTATGTACCATATGTATCTGCTAGGAATAAAATTATGAACAAAGCAGTCCTTGATCTCAGAGCATTTACATTCTAGTAGAAAACGCATAATAAACAAATCAAAATGCTGTGAAGAAAGATAAAGTAAGTAAGGGAATAGAGTATGTCTGAGATAAATATTTTTAGACAAGCTACTTTCTGGCATAGGGACAAATTGACAAATTAAACAGAAGTGAACACTGAATATGCGGGGCAAGAGTATCCCAGGCAGAGGGTCCTAATGGCAGGTACAAAGGCCCTGGGTTAAGAATGTCTTTGACAAGTTCTAGGAACATCAGAGAAGTCAGTTTACGTTTCGTGGTGTGAGGAAGTAGTAGAGTGGTAGAAAGTGAGTTTGAAGGGACAGCCAGGGTCAAGTCATGTAGAGCTATGGTAATGACTTTGGACATTATTCTAAGTGTGATGAAAGCCAATGGAGGTTGAGGCCAGGGGTGGTGGCTCACACCTGTAATCCCAACATTTTGAGGGGCCAAGTTGGGTGGATCACCTGAAGTCAGGAATTCAAGACCAGCCTGGCCAACATGGTGAAACCCCATCTCTACTAAAAATATAAAATTAGCTGGGCATGGCGGCACTTGCCTATAATTCCAGCTATTCAGGAGGCTGAGGCAGAACTGCTTGAACCTGGGAGGTGGAGGTTGCAGTGAGCCAAGACTGTGCCACTGCACTCCAGCCTGGGTGACAGAGCAAGATTCCATCTCAAAAAAAAGAAAGAAGAAAGAATGAAGGAACGAATGAAGGATAGGAAGGAAGAAAGGAAGGAAGGAAGAAGGGAAGAAAGGAAGGAAAGACAGAGAGGAAGGAAGGAAGAAAGGAAGGAAGGAAGGAAAGACAGAGAGGAAGGAAGGAAGGAAAGAGAGAGGAAGGAGGGAAGGAAGGAAAGAAGGAAAGAGAGGAAGGAAGGAAGAAAGGAAGGAAGGAAGGGAGGGAGGGAGGGAGGAAGGAAGCCAATGGAGGTTTGAAAACAGAGGAGTGACATGCTTTAATTTACAATTTCAAGTTCTCACTGTGATTGCAGGTGGAGACTATTTCATCAAGAATGAAAACCAGACAGCAAGTTAGGAAAGTTATTCTATAACAAATATGAGTTCAGACAAGAGAGGGACTAGAGTGGTAGTAGTACAAAATTGGTCAGGTTTAAGATATATCATGAAGGTTTTGCTGACATATCTTGGTGATGGAATGGTTGTGGAAAATGATTAAAAGAGAGGAAGTTGAATGCCCATCATTGACCAATATAGGGTAACTGTCAATTACATCTTCAAGCATAAATGAAATCTTCTCTTCAAGGAGATGGGATTGCTTTTTTTTTTCTTTTCTATGCCTTTACGAGGACTTACTAAAGTCTAATGTGACATGATGATGGATAGTTAGAGAGACAGATACTACTCATGGTGATGTCCATGTCCAAAGCATACCAGCAACATGGAGAAAACATATGTGACCCACTCCATGCACATAGGGAGCTACACTGAAGGAAAAAGGCTAGCAGGAAACATACAATCGACTTTTTTCATAACAGTGCACTGAGGAAGCCATAATCAAGGAAGACACAAAATCATTTTGCTTTCAACTTTAAACTCTATGGTATAACTGTGTCAGCTTGTAACCAGACTGGCATTTGGCAAAGTAAAATGAAAGAACATTTAATGAAGTTTTCAGATATGTTACAATTATGTTTCAGATATGTTTCAGTTATGTTTCAGATTCATACTAAGGCCCAGTATCAACTATTTTATTTCAATTTAATGTAATAAATCATTATTGAGTTCTTACTATAGGCCAGATGTTATATAGATTCTGGAAATATAAGATGTAACAACTCTGTTGTTCCCAGCCTGCTAGGAAAGAAAGAGACATAGATGAATATCTGCATTAGTATATGGTGTCAAGATAAAAGAAAGAATAAAGTACTATGGGAATACTGATAAACTATTATAATTACTATTTGGGTGAAGGTGCCAGGCAAAGTGATTGAGAGAGCTGACATTTGAATTGGACCATGAATACATAGAATCATGACAAAAAAGGAAAAATAAAAGGAGAAAGCAAGTCTGTGCTTGTTGCAGATGGCAGTAGCTCAAGATCACTGGGGGTAGAGAGCAGGATTGCATAGTGGTCATAGTCTTTGCAGCTACAGCTTCAGCTTAAATACCAGTTCTACCACTTATCATGTTATTTAATCTCTATATGCCTCAGTTTATCCATCTGTAATACTGGAATAATAGCTATTTCGTAGAGCTTTGTAGGGAATAACCAATTTAACACAGGGCATTTAAGTAAAGCTTTTAGTACATAGAAAGAAGTACACAATGTTTGCTCTATAGCAATAAAAGGCAGGCTGATGTTTTCTTATTTGAAGCATATTAACAAAGAGCACGAGACGACTTTTGTGGAGTGATACAGGCGTAAAAATATAATTATTTTGCAACTCCTTTGATCTCAAAAGTTAAGACTGAACATGCCAGGATGGGAATTTTACTTTCTAATGCCTGTGTTTGTGGTTAGTTATTTTTTATGACGTTGAAGTGATAGATTTAAAACCTAAATGGGTCATATGGCTTCACCCTACTCTTGGCCACAGACTGAACCCTTAACCCTAGCTAACCATGAGGCAAATAGATCATGGAAGAGGCAGACCACACAGTGGAAATGTATCTATTTTACTCATCAATTAGCCACTAGAAAAATAATCAAAATCATGCCCTAGTGGCAGTGAGGTAGCAATGTCACTTTAATAAGTTAACTTAATGCTTTAAAAAATATAAATTGAGCTACGTTGTTCTTATGCCCGAAGAAGAGACCATGTTTGAATTCTGAGTGAGGTTTCAGCATGCTTACTGCATGATAATACCTCATATATGTATGGTAATTGATATTTCACAAAAAAAGTTTCCATTGGTCTTACCATATTCTAATTTCCAAGATGGTAAAACACTGAACTTGAGAAGTCTAAGCAAGCCTTCAATGTGGTTAAGGTGCAAAGATGCCATGGAGAGAAATGGTCAAAGTATTGGCAGGCAAGAGATAAATTACTAGCTTTTTGCCATGGTTAAGGCCAACTTGATAATGAGGACAGTGAGAAAGAACTGAAACTACAACTGCTAGAAGCTACTGGAAGAAAACACAGAGGAAACACTTTGTGATATGGGACTGGAAAAGGATTTCTTGGATACAACTTCAAAAGCACAGGCAACAAAAGCAAACATAGACAAATGGGATTACATCAAACTAAAAAGCTTCTGCACAGCAAAAATAGTAATCAACAGAGTGAAAAGACAACCTACAGAATGGGAAAAAATACTTCGAAGTCATACATCTAATTAGGGGTTAATATCCAAAATATATAAGGAACTGAAACAACTAATCTAAAAATGGGCAAATGATCTGAATAGAAATTTCTCAGAAGAATAAAAAGGCCAGCACACATAAAAATGCTCAGCATCATTAATCATCAGGCAAATGCAAATCAAAACCACAGTGAGATAGTAATATCATCTTACTACATGAGAAGAGAGACTGGCCTAGCCTCTCAGCCTGTCTTTCTCCTGTGCTGGATGCTTCCTATCCTTGAACATCAAACTCCAAGTTCTCAAAGTTAGAAGGGCTACTACAATAAGACAAAAAAAAAAAAAATGCTGGCAAGGGTACAGAGAAAGGAGAACTCTTATACATTTTTGTGTTAGTGTAAATTAGTATAGCTATTATGGAAAACAGAATAGGGCTTCCTGAAAACATTAAAAATAGAACTACCATATGATGTAGCAATCCCATTTCTGGGTATATATGCAAAGGAAATGAAATCAGCATGTCAAAGAGAGATCTGTACCCCCGTGTTTATTGCAGCACTACTCACAATAGCCAAGAGATGGAACCAAATATTCTTCAGCAGAAGAAAGGATAAAGCAAATGTGGTCTATATGCACAATGGAATACTGTTTAACCATTAAAAAGAATGAAATCCTTCCATCTGTGGCAACATGGATGAACCTGGAGGACATTATGTTAAGTGAAATAAGCCAGAAAAACAAATACCACATGATCTCACTAATAAACGGAATCTTAAAAAGTTGATCTCATGCAAGTAGAGATTATAGAAGAGTGATTACCAGAGGCTTAGGAGGGGTGGAGGAAAGAGTGATTAAGTACAAAGTTACAGTTAGGTAGGAAGAATATATTCCAGTGTTCTATTACATAGTAGGGTGACTATAGTTAATAAAAATCTATTATATTTTTCAAGGCAGCTAACAAAGAGGATCTTGAATGTCATCACTACAAAGAAATTATAAATGTTTGAAGTGATGGCTATGCTATCTACCCAAACTCAATCATTATACAATATACAGGGGTATTAAAACATCACATTGTACCCCATAAACATGTAAAATTATCATGTAAAAAATGTAAACATGTAAAATTATCACAGGGAGGGGAACATTACACACCAAGGCCAGTCAGCGAGTGGGAGACAAGGGGAGGGAGAGCATTAGGACAAATACCTAATGCATGCAGGGCTTAAAACCCAGGTGATAGGTTGATAGGTGCAGCAAACCACCATGGCACAAGTATATCTCTGGAACAAACCTGCACATTCTGCACATATATCCCAGAACTTAAAGTAAAATAAAAATAAA
Source organism: Homo sapiens (assembly GCF_000001405.40). Lineage (NCBI taxonomy): Eukaryota > Metazoa > Chordata > Mammalia > Primates > Hominidae > Homo > Homo sapiens. The sequence goes on along the minus strand of NT_187549.1, from coordinate 58,366 downwards.
ATAAAATAATAAAATAAGATGAATAAATTATCATGTGTCAGTTATAAACAACATTTTTGAAAGTTAAATTTAGGAAAAAGCAAAGGAAGGCAACTCACATTAACTGATCTTTCTACACCTTCTTCATTTAATCTTTTTTCCCTCTTGGCTTGGCAACCACTAAACATGTTGTTATTGCCACAGCTGATACACAGCCAGTGTCTTCTGTGCCAGAGACACATTCGAATGACAATGTGACACATTTTATTATGAAAGAATAGCCCGGTGAGCTGGAGATGCCTTGCCTACAGCTGCTTTGCTATGTTTAAACTGTCCTTTGTGCATCATTTATTCTGAACACATTTGAGGACAACTGGAAACAAACTGATGAGTAAGTCTGAGTACTGAGAGAGGTGAAGGAATGACATTTTAAAGGCAAACATTGAGACTTTTCAGCCAAAGAAGCAGCAGCTGCTGCAGATGTTGATATAACAGAGGACACTGGGAGCAGTGAGCAGGGCAGAATGTCAGTTCAAGACAAGAGGTTGCCATCAGAGAAAACAATCCACTAGAAACAAAAGCTACAGTGCCCAGGCGGTGCTGAGGGGCTGGGCTCTTTTCTCAGCAAGATGGCTGGCAGAAAGATAAGTTGAGCACCAGTGAAAATTATCATTGTAGGAAAGAGAGAGAAACAGAGAGAGATTTGGAATGCATCTACCTCTGTGGCAGAAAAGACATTTTAAGTAGCATTAAAAGCCTGGAGAGTGTAGCCTCACATGCTTCTTTCTTCAGTGCAAGCTGTGCACACCTCCATTGGAAGCAAAAGCCTTTTCCTTTACGTTCATTGACCTTAAAGAAACTCTACTTTGGTACCTTCAATTCAAGAATTCTTCGCCAACACCTCTGGTTTTAAGTCATTACTAATAATAGGGACAAGTGCCAAAACATTTGACTAGCTGTCCAATGTATTTGCAAGTTTAAAAACATAGTCTTGTTGGTTGAAAATGCCAGTTAGTCATCAGTTAACCTTGAAGTCTTCCTGACCCATGTCCTCTGGAAGAGTTCATGGAAATAAAAACAGAGAGAATCAAAATGCACCTAACTCAGGATCTGCAAACCCCACGAAACAGCAAATCAAAGAGTTGACTCCAAGTCAGTCTGACATTTTAAAAAGCAGCAGGGCTTACATCAGGTGAGACATCAAAAGCAACAAAAAGGAAGTCAGACTATCACAGCCTTATCTGGCCTTTGCTAGGAGAGAAAGGCTGGAAAATCTGAGACATCCATTTCTCAATATGCTCACTGCAAGTCAGATGCTTTCTATTACACAGAGAAGTTACAGAGGCCCGATTTCCATTTGGTCATTCAAAAACCACTTATTGAAGCACTACTATGTACCAGGCATCATACTGGGGACTGAAAAGTAGCTGCAAAAGACACAGTGCCTGATAATAGACATATATAACTAAACAATTTCAAAGAAGCACAACACATATTCTAAAAAGGGCTGCAGTGCTTTCAGAATAATAGAAAGTGATTTTAAAGAATCATTCAGAGGAATCTAGTAAATAATAATAGCAATATAATAATATGAGAAAGTCCCAGGTTTTTGGTAAGAATAAAATGTAGATTGTGCCATTAATTGAGGGAGCATATATAAAGAGGAGTACATTTAAGAGGGAATATGGTGAATTCAGATTTGAATATTCCTTTCGGATATGCACAGTTTTTCCCAAAATAAAAAAATGGCCCAAGTTGCATTTATGTCCTTCTTTCTGCCACCATCATCACCTTCGATGTTATAACACATAAATAGCAAAGTGAACAGAACGGAAACAGAAAGAAAAGAGTGATCTTACTATATTAAGAAAAAGCATTTAGGATACCTGAGAGTTTGGGACAATTTTGCCAGACACTCAGACTTTTTTTTTTCTTTTTTCCCATCCACATTCTCTATAATTTAATTGTTAGGAGTATGAATTCTAGAATCTACATAGGTTCCAGTTCTGAGTCTACTGCTTTCTGCCTGAGTGACCCTGTTGACTTACTGAGTCTTCTAAGGGTCTGCTTCCTCCTCTCTAAACAGGGATACCAGTACCTGGTTCATAGAGTTGAGAAGATCTATGGGATGCTGAATATAAAAAGCTTAAACCAGTGCCTGGGGCATAGCCAGTGCTCAGTAAATATAGTTACATTTGTTCCCTAGTCTTGTTTTTCTCCCATTTCTTGTGCTTTTATTTCCGACCCCCACCAACCCTCTCACTTTCCTGTGAGAAACTTCATATAGTTTTTTCTTTAAAAAAGGAAAAAAAAAGGTTTAGATTGAGAAGACCTAGATTTCAATATTGGTGCTGTCACTTATTACCTGTGTGTTCTTGTAAAAATTCCTTGACCTTCTGGATTTAAGTTTTCCTAAGCATAAACTGCAGATATTAGTAATGTGTTTCTTATTAGGATATGGTAAAGGGTGAGTGAGATGTTATGTCCCCTGTGCAACACTTATTCTAGATATTCTTCATTTCCTTCTCCAATTCTACTTGCCCATCTTCTACACTCTTCTGTGCTCTAGATAGCTGACATTTATCAACTAAATCAATGGGCAACCTTGCCCTCTGGCTTCTAGCTTGGAGTGGCAGATGGAAGAGACCAAAAGGATTTTGAGAAGACAGAAAAGCGTAGTCAGGATATTGATTTCCCCCGTTCTTTTGCTTGGTCTTCTCTAGGTAAACTGTGCCAACCTATTGAAGGTCATAGCTTTTGTTAAGAAGCCCCTTCTCTCTCTGGAGTACTCCAGCTGCTCCATCTCCTGGTGCTTTGGTGCTCAAGGCTTCCCTACCTTTGCTAGTTCTGCACTGCCTTTGCCAGTTTCCCTAAAACAACCCTGCACACACCTTTGTAAAGCATGTCTTTATTAAATTCTCCTCACTTACCCCTGTTTGAGTGTGCCATCTGTTTCTTTCTAGGATCCTGACTGCTACAACATGTAAAGTCCCTGGCATGTCTGGCTCCTAAGAAATGAGTCTCTCCCTACAAACAATGCCTGTCAATGTCTTCCTCAAACCTTGCTTGGCTACGAAGTGGTGTTCACAGTCAAGGAGAAGAGTCCTGACCTTAATAACCTGAATCTGGACAACAATGAAGAACCTCTGAAAAAAGTGGGAAAATAACAGTCCCCAAAGTAGAGAATAATATCCACATCTTTCTTGGAAATTCAGCCCTGAAAGCGAACCTGCAATAAGTACAGTCTATATTCATTGCTCTTACATGCTGCCCCTTCTGTATGCCGCCATCTGCAACACTGCTTTCTCATTCCGTGTTTTGGATAACTGCAGAGTCCTCTAACACATATGTGATGGTTAATACTGTGTCAACCTGATTGGATTGAAGGATACAAATTATTGATCCTGGGTGTGTTTGTGAGGGTGTTGCCAAAGAAGATTAACATTTGAATGAGTGGGCTGGGAAAGGCAGACCCACCCTTAATCTGGGTGGGCACCATCTAATCAGTTGCCAGCATGCCTAGAATGTAAAGCAGGCAGAAAAATGTAAAAAGAGAGACTGGCCTAGCCTCCCAGCCTACATCTTTCTCCTGTGCTGGATGCTTCCTACCCTTGAACATCGGACTCCAAGTTCCTCGGTTTTGGAACTTGGACTGGCTCTCTTTGCTCCTCAGCCTGCAGTCTATTGTGGGACCTTGCGATTGTGTGACTTCATACTTAATAAACTGATATGTATGTAAATACTTAATAAACTCATATATATTTATTCATACTTAATAAACTCATACATGTATATTCCATTAGTTCTATCCCTCTAGAGAACCCTGCCTAATACAACACGAGGAGTAGTAGCAGACCACAAGAAAGAAAAGCAGTTTGTTTTCTGTCACTGATCTGCAAAATATACATCTCTAAAGGAGTTTCTCCCAAAGCCACTGGTTACATGATTGGGTAAAATTGGAACAAGAACAATCAGAGGTTGACTGAGTCCTTTAAAAACGGTATTTAAAAGTTCAGTAAGGTTTTACATGGACTATAAAGTCTCTAAACGGTTTTCTTATTTATAACTGCTCTACCAGCATCTCCTTCAGTAAAATCAAAATATTCATATTTTGGCTTGCAAAAAATGAAACGAATGTGAATTATGTATCTGCCAAATAATACAGGAGGATTTATGTTTTTATGTGATACACTTCTCCTATTTTGTTTTCTTTTTCCTGTGCCCTGGCTTTTTTCCACCTCCACTGGCTTCATTTCTACATTCATTTTTCATGTATTCAAACATACTTTTCCTAAGCTTCATGTTATATTAGCCTCATTCCAAATACCAAATATTTTAAATTTAATCCTTGAATATATGCAAGATATTAACTTTTATGGTGCTGTTTCCATAACCCTTGACACTGTATATTTTAAAGGACTTTAAAAATTTATGACAATTGTTCTTAGTTTTGAGAAAATATGTGCTCAGTATTTTAAATCATTAGTGCTAACATGCATCAATGTGATATTTCTTTTATATGTAAATATAAGCGATCTCTTTGGATGTTTTGTAGTCTTTTTTATCTGCTTCACAACTGTTTAGCTTGCATATTTTAAGAATTGTGAATCTCACTGATGCACAGATAATAAATACTGATGTCTCTATTTTGTTTAAAGTTTGCAAACTCTGATTCTTTTCTTCTCTTCCCTTTTGACTGAGGGCCTTAATCTTCAAGTGCCTCATGAGAAGCTACACAGTTCATGTTCCTTCATAACAAATTTGACACATAATAATAATTACGGGACAGAATTCTTTTTCCTTAAAGAGTTAAAGGTGTGCAATTTGCCCCGAGGAATCTGTAGCTTGTATCTACAAGACTGTGCTAATGTTTTGGTTTACTAAGGGGAAATAAAAGAGATGCTGACAGATGAAGTAGTCCTATGAGGAAACACTTTTTTTTTTTTTTCAATTTGAGGCTCAAGGTTTTCTTTTCCTCTTTTTAAAATTTTATTTAATGCTTATACAACCAAATAAAAGTGAAAGAGCAACAGGCTGTATGAAGAGCCCTCAATCTCATTCTGCACCTCTTTCTGTCTTATACTTCCAGCATTGATCGGTGCCTCAAATATTTGGCTATGGAGCAGCCATAATAGGATTTCAACTATGTGCTGTCAGAGAATTTCTCCAGGGGTTTGGACCAGTTCTTCACAGACAACCTCAACCCATTAGCTTTGCAACCAGACTGATGCACTTGGAAGAATCATTAAAAAGACATGGTATAGAACAATCTTATCAAAATGTACAAATACTCTGTGTAATACACTTCACTGCATGACTATAAAAAATATTATCAATTCAGCAAGTTACTTTTCTGGATAAAGTTTTTATGGATACTTTTTAAATACGCATTCTGTCACTTGTAAGAAAAATCTTCCTATTCATTGCTTTGGATGGTGGCCAATGTCTAAAGAAGGCAGAATCTGAGTGCCACATGTTTAGTGAGCTGATTAGTTGCCAGTTGCCATGCTCTATAGAGAGAAAAAGAGGAATTGCAATTTTAAGATAATCTTTTAAAATCTGCCATCATTTCCCACTACAAAAACTGTGATACAGCCTGTTAAATAGAAGATAATTAGTCTAGTGAAGGTCTGGTAATTGTAAACTCATTCCTAATTGAAAAAAAAACACTGTTATTTTGCTGGGAAACCATCCTTATCACTTAGAAAATTCAGGGTTATAACAAAAGTGTATGGGCTCAGTAGCTAGAGGCATAAGAAGGGGAAACTAGAGAATAGCTTTGGAGAGCATTTTATATTTCATATAAATAAGGATTGAGTAAGTCAAATTAATTCAATGAAAATAGTGCAGATTTTGTAGCAATAAACAGTTGCAAATTCTGACTCAGCTCCTTATTAGCTGTGGTCTTAAGCAAGTCATTTAAATTTAGTCTCATCTTCATCCTCAGTAAAATGAATAATAATAACGTATGAGGATTCACAGCACACCTGCAAAGCCAGCGCAGAGACTGGCAAACGGAGTTGCCCAATAAACAGTTTTTCTGAAAAACTACATTTTGTTTAATGTTTATCACAGTGTGCTATGAAAGAGAAGAGTTCAAAGAGGAAAATATTAAATTCAACCAATATGACATCTGCTAATCTAAAATTGACTTTCTCTCTCCCTCAGTATTACCCCAAACTTTAACTCAGCCCCAATTTACTAGCTTCTTCTTCTTTGTTCATAAGAGGGAAGAGCTTAATTTTCCCGGCCAATTTACCACTTCCACAGTGACCAAGAGTTTCCCTGAACTGTTCCCTCAACACAGGAAAGACTGAATTATTTCCCATAGCAAGAATTTCACTTGTCCTTTTGCTCTCTGCTCCCCTAGAGTGCCTCTGCCTCCTGGCTAAAAAAACAATCTGAACCTGAGAAAGAGCACTTGGTGATCTTACTTTTCTTCTGATTTACCAACCCTAGTTAATATTCTTCACCCTTGATTAGCAGTTGATTTTTATTTTACAACTTAAGTAAATCGACGGGGAAAAGACAGATACACTCTTACAGATAAATCATCTAGTTATGGACCCAGACTTTGCAGCCAACCTGCCTGGCTTTTCTGGGTTCCCTGTTTGTTGGCTGTGTGACCATGGGCAAGTGATTAATTTCTCTTTTCATCAGTATTTTCACCTGGAAAAAGGAGTATAAAAATACCACCAACCCCTTAGGGCTATAGTGAAATTTAAATGAGTTAATACATGCAAAAGACCTTAGAGCCTATAGTAAATGCCGCATCAATTTTGGCTATGATTTCCCAAGGGTCTCTATTAAACCTATTTCATAGTTAATTTTCATGCATATATGTATATGTGTGTGTGTGTGTGTGTGTGCGTGTATTTGGAGATGTGTATATACACATATATATATATATATATATATATCTCCAACTACTGACGTGTAGTTAAGATGGCTGGTTTAGTCTGAGCAATGTAACCTGATCCCTCACCCTTCCCAGAGCCCCAATGAGCGCATGTGCTTGAAGAGAGGTGCTTTTAAAATGGTTTCTGTCCACATCAGGCCAGTTGCCTTGGGGACTTTCCCCCAAATCCTTCTTCATCCAAAACCTCAAAAATTATGTCTTTGCAATTAGATTCAATCCCTGTCTCTAACACAACATCCTGAAGGTCACAGGCCGTCTTTCACTATCCCAGAAAGGCACCAAACTCCAACATTCCCTTCTCCCACTTTACATCCAGGAAGAAGCAAAAAGCTATCCAGGGCCATAGTGCTGGGGAGCAGGGATTTAGAAGGGATAACAGAATTAATCAAGAATGCTTGATTTTCAACTCTCTTTGGATTGTATTTCTTGATATCATTTCCTATTTCCTTTCCCAAAAGTTGCCGTATCTCCTGCTTGACAGGGATTTCCCTGTTCTTGGAAGGCTTGGGTGTCATTGGCTTGCCAACCTATACTGTTCTCCAGGTCTTGGGGCTAAGCTGGCAAACTGAATGTAGGTGAGCCAGACACCTCCTAAAGTTCACACAGAACTTTTAGTGTCTTAATTAGTTACCAGTATTTAAAACTAGTAGTATTTCACCTAACAATTTGATTTTAGCTTCTCTTGAAAATTTGAAAGATTTAGCAAAATTGGGCCCAGCATCTTTCATAGTAATAACTGTTTGGAGCTCAATGTAAACTAAGCCAGAATTCCTACCGCTCCTTATTATCTCAGCCCATCTGCTGTACACTCATTTATGCAGCCTGCAGAGGCCCCTAAAAGTTCTCAAATGTTTGACCTTTGTCTTGAGAAGAACCATTTTTTTCCCCCTTGGTATATCCTTTATCTGTTCCTCCTCCTTCTTTTAATTTTTTCCCTTCTTCTTCCTTCTTCTTCTTTCTTTTCCTCCTTCTTCATCTATTCTGACCACTGGATAGCCTCAAGCACCATGGTCAAGAATTAGACCTGAGGAAAAGGTACACATGAGACTGACTTGAAATCAAAGATTTTAGGCCCATTTGCTCAAACTAAAAGAATCCTCAGCCATAATAGCTGTCCAAGATGAGCCAGGACACAAGAACCATCTCTTGTGTCCCTTTATTGCCAAGTGTGCCATCCCTGTCTAATTTCATATCTCCCACTGGGAGAAAAGAGGTAGCAACAACATTATTACCAATAATGCCACGCTCTTTAGAAACTGTTTGTATTGAAACAATATAGACCTTCTTGCCTCTGTAATTATCTAATACCATTCACTTACTGCTGGTTCCATCATTAGTCATACCACTGCATTATCCCTCCTGCTCTCTGTGGATAATGGCTTCCAATGACCCTTTCAACAGTCGTTACTGAGCTTTGTTGATGACGACCACAATACAAGAATATCCAGGGTATGCAGAAAAAAATGCGAACCACGTTTTGTTTTCTGGGCATGTTAAATGTACCATACAAAAATTTACATTGTAAAAACATAGAACTACACATCTCCCAACTGAGTAGGTCATAATCATAGCACTCCTATAATCTGATTGGTTTCAATGTTGACTGCTCTCTCGACTTCCATATACCACAACCAGCAGGGACAATAGGCAAAAGCCCTTAGGTAGGGTGGACAGAACAGTCTCATTCTCACAAGAAATGTCTGTTCCTCATGTGGTACAGCTAAAGACAGACCAGGGTGAGTAAAACATCACTGCATCAGTAAGAAGCAAAAGAGGATATCAAATGAAGGGCCTGTTGGCTTTGCATAGCACTTGTCTGTCCTCTGAAGAGATAAGTCCGCTCCCCTAAGACTGCCTGGTGAGGGGGTGGACTGACAATCCTAGGTGCCACTGAGGGTACATACAGAGTAAATAACACCATGGCAGCCCCTCACCACCTTTGTGTGCTGGACTTGAGGTGATGCTGTGGTGAAAACTCAAAGAGCCAACACATGGCCTTCACATGCATTTGAAACTTAAAAGTCAACGGTAGATGGTAGGCAAGACAGAATGCTGAAATCGTTCTGCGCCTCATGTGAATGAGGATGTGTCAGCTTGTCAATACCATTCTCTAGGCCCAACTCTGCATGATCCTGCCTGGAAAAAGCAGGCTGGCCAGTAAAAAAAAAAAAGCACTCTGCATAGCTCCACCATCCGGAAACAAGGTCCTGGACACAGGCCCCTGGGATGTCCCATAGATGAGGGTCTTGATGCTCCTTAGAAGCATCTGATCAACCCTTGTTAAAGGTGGGGTGGGGGTAAAATGGTGGGAGAATACCCTGAAAGGAAAAAACATGGACCAGGGCTCATGCATCCCTGGTGCAGATTCAGGTCACCTTATCCCAAAGGAACGGTTGGCCTAACCAAGCCCAGGCACCAAAAAGACCTCACTTGCTTAAATCTGAGGGCAGTATTGGCCATTTAGGCACTCCTTAGAAGCATTTCTGAGACTCTTTTGAGGAGGGTTGATATGGGCCACAGCTTTATTCTGTGGTTGTTGGTTACTCTAGCAAGCTGCTGTCTTGCCCCATTCTTTCTGGCCATCTATTGCTATCACATAAAACGATTCTCTTTTTTCTCTTAATATCGGCAATTTTATATTGTCATGTCACTTTGCTTTTAAGCTAAAAAACATTCCTCTCTTAAATTCTTAACCACAATCTACAACAAGGCTGTGGGGTTTAATAAAACTTTAGTAACAGCTCAAGAGTATAGAAGTGACATGAAAAAAAGAAAAGGAAAAGAAACAAACAGAAATAAATTAGGTAAGCATTCCTGCTCTTACACTCTCAGGGCCATACCCAATCCCAAGGATTCTTTATGACCATTGCCCAGTTAGACAATGTCAGCATAAGGTAGGTGCCCAGTGAATGAATATTAGTTAAATGACTGAATGAAAAGTTGAAAATTCCCTTGCAGTGGGAGAGTCTTTGACTATATTCTTCTTAGCCTGGAGTTACTGCCCCGACCCTGAGTCTCAAGCCTCACAGAGGTGCTGACAGGCCATTCTCAGATCTGCCACACAGGTATAGAATTACCCTACTGTCTCAATTCTATTCACCGTGACGTTTACCTCTTTCATTATTATTCACAGACATTTAACTCTCAGTTTCCATTCCAGGATTATATCTTGAGTTTACCTTTATAAAAACAAAATCCCATTGGAAGTTTTTTTGCCACCTCCTCCACCCCACCCCCAAATAAGCATCTTTCTAGGCAGAATTCAATACCAGCAACACTAATTTTGAAACTGCATTTTCTTCCCTTCCTTTTCTCCGCAGCCTTCCAGTGTTTCAGTTGCCAGACAGGATTCAAGATTCAAGTTTCTGGACTTTTCTAACCACCCAGCAGCCCCTGCAAGTGGTTACATTTCCTAAACAAATGACCAGTTTGGGGTGGCAAGCAGGGAGATAATTTGCGCGCCACTGCGCTCCAGCCTGGGTGATAGAGCGAGGCTCCATCTCAAAAAAAAAAAAAAAAAAAAAAAAGAGTGAGCATTTTGCTTGGCTTTGCCCTCTGTGTTTAGCTCTTCCTCATTACCCTAGCAATGATGGCTGGTCAAAGATCCTGGCCATCTCTACATCTTTTTCCACTTTAGAGACAAGACTAACAATTACCAACGTGCATTATAAGTTCACTGCTGAAAGCCTTAAATTGTTAGTTTAAATATCGAGTAACAAGGGAGCTTTCATTTCCTAAAAGTTGTAATTGTTTAGAATTCACAGCCTCATATTTATGCTTCGACAATTTCTTGGGTGATAAATCCTCAGTTAGTATCAGGTTTTAAACTTAATTTACTTATAATCTACACATAGTATTAGTTAAGAAACCCTACTTATAAATGATAAAACTTTGCTATAATTAGCAGGAGTGTGGAAGGAAGAAGAATTGCCTTGGGCCACACATACAATACACTTACAATAATGATAGCTGATGAGCAAAAAAAAAAAAGTCTCATAATGTTTTAAGAAAGTTTACGAATTTGTGTTGGACTGCATTCGAAGCCATCCTGGGCTGCATGCAGCCTGTGGGTCATGGGTTGGACAAGCTTGTAACTAGAGTTTATAATGATTCTTCCATCATTTAGCCTCTCTTTTCAAAAATAAGGTATTTTTCCCTAATAGCTTTTGCAACTTGATAGTTAATTGTTAAAATAATCACTAAAATAGCCATCCTACCTATGACTCCATAAAGAAAATCCATTTGTATAAAGGAAGATTAAGTGAATAAATAAATAACTTAGCTTAATAGTAAATTCACAGCTAATATCAGAAGTTACATAATTTAGGATGGGCTCCTCTAAATTACCTTTGGTTAATTATAAGACAGATCAAAATGTTTAAAAATATAACGGTTCGAGTTAGCATGCAGTCCTAGGTAATTAAAGACATTGTGCCCTTTTTTGTATTTATTTAAATAAAAGTAAAATATTGACCTTCCTAACTATCCTATAGAGTAGTCCTAACCTTGCCTGGAAGAGGGTGATGATTTGTAGAGTTATGATTGTTAATGGCCTTCAAATGCAGCCTGCACAGGCCCTTAACTCCCCAGTGTACAGTAAGGTTTAGCCCTTTCCAGATGGGAAAATGATAAGGACACTAGAAAGATAGTAGGTCATTCTTGGGCAGCTGCCAGAAACTTGCAGCAAAATGAATCATGTAGGGCTGTGGTGCTTTAGCCAGCATTTTTCCATTTTAATTTATCAAGCCAAAGCTTGTTGACATGAAAGTGAATGAAATTGTTATACAGTGGGCTCTAAAAAGCCAGCTCAAGGGTTTAGTGGAGAAGAGCTCTGACTATAAATAACAAAGAAAATACAGGGAATGTTCTTTCCACTAGCACCTGCTCTGTTGTTTGAGATGCATCGGCAATTAACTCAAATCCCAATATCAGCAGCAACTGGAAAAAGGCCAATTCTTTGAAATATTACGGAGGCTCCAAAATCTGTTGTAGATGATTATCAAAGGGCTGATTCTCAAACTGGTCATTTTAGTTTTTTGATATGTAGGGCTGTATTTATTTGTTTACCAAATGTAGTAAAGTAACTGACCGAAATGACAAAGTATTATTGATATTGCTAGGAGAGTGGCTTTGCAATCAGAAAAGGTTAATGCCATCCTGCTTGAAAAAAAAATATTTTGCTGTGACTTGTCCAAAAAAGAAAACAATGAAATAAATCACTGACTAGCATTCACAAATGAAATCTCTGCATTTAGCTGAGGCATATAAATCAGGTTTTACAGTAAAAACAAGATACCCGCAATTTCCACTCTGAGTAAAAGAAAAAAACTAGCTGATTAGAGTAAGATTTAACACATGTGCATTAAGGAAAAAAAAAAACAAAACCTTCCTTGATGAAAGAGTATTTAACATTTTAAGCCTCTACTTAATGTTTTTGCACATAGTGACTCCTGATTAAATATATTTCTCTTAATAAAGAATGTTACCTGTACTAGCAAGAGACGAAGTATAATACTGTCTCTTTTCTTCTGAGGATGGAATAACACAATGTTTCCACTGCATATGCTCGCATCCTGTGGAATCTGGAAAAAAATATATACTCTCTGAGTCCATTTATTTCTTAATCGTTAGATTTATTTATTTGTGCCTTTACTCAAACAATATTTATTGAATGTCTTTTTGGGGCAACACGCCATATAAGGTTCTGTCAATTTTCTCAACTGACGCTGCAGATCAGTCAACTAAGTATGATGCCTACTTTTTTAAAATCAGGAAAGATAAAGCGTAAATAAATATTTAGGATATAAATACAAAGTAATAAATATTTCCATTAAAGAATGAAATATTAATCAAAGCTTCCTACTATCATCATTCTTTTTCCACTTTGTGAATTCACTTATATTTATATCTCACAGAAACATAAAATTAAGTGCCATCTAGATTCATAATAATTTATTGCCTTTATTTAAAATAATAAAATTGCACGCTGTGGTAGCTCTAGAAAATCTAGACTCTATGTTCACTATACTATAATCAATACTCTGCACATAGACCATTAGGCCATTCCACATATCAACATTAAAAGTCATTTAAAATTGCTATTAATATTATTTAATGATGATAATAAAAGACTAGACTCTGTAATTAACTTTGAGAAAAAATAAAACAATGATTAACATTTGTAAATGCTTATTATGTTCTCGGCATTTTGCTAATTGCTTTGTACACTTACTAACTGGATCATTATATTATCCCTTTGGGGTAAGTGCTGCCCTTCTCAGCATTTTACAGATGAGAAAACTGAGGATCAGAACGTTTCACTAACTTGGCAATATCTGATTTTGGACCCAGATGAGCAGTACTACCAACAATTATACTAATCTGAAACAGATTATAAATATTTAAAAATAAAAGATAAAGTGTTGTTTACAGATAATATAATTGCATATGTGAAAAAATAGAATGAACTAGAAATTTGTTACAAATGAAGACATTATGATATTTATATAGTTAATAAATATAAACTCTCATATATAAATAATAACCACTTTAAAAATATAATGGAAGAAAAGATCTCAATCACAGTCCCAAACAGAAAGATCTTTATAAAAACAAACTTTATATGGAATGTGTAGGACATTACAAGGTGAACATTTTTCAGAATCTATGGAAAGACATACTGTATGCCTTCAATAAATTGCAATTTATCTTGTTCTTAGAAATAAGAGCTCAATGTTAAATCATCATTTCTTTTGGGGAAAAAAAAGAACACTCTAAAATCTACAAAATAAAACTGTCACTACAGTAGCCTGAAAAGTAAATATATAAAACTAGCTGGATTATAAAGAGGAAGAATAAGGAGTTGTACCAGATAATAAAACATACGGTAAAGCTGCAGTTCATATCACTTCAGTAATAGGCCAGGAATACACAAAAGCATCAATGGAAAAGAAAGTCCAGAAACACACCCAAATACATACGGAAATTACCATAAAGAGAGCATTTCAAACCAGTGTGGGTAAAGATAAAATTTTCAATAAATCTGTGATAACTATATAGTCATTTGGAAAAAGTAAAACCACATCTCCAAATCACTACTTAGATAAAAATAAACTCCAGATGGAGCAAAGATTTAAAGTAAACAATGAAGCCATTAAAGAACTGGATGAAAACGTGACTGAATTTATTTATAACTTAGGGTGGAGATGGTCTTTCTAAGCAGACACAAAATTCAGAAACCATAAATTTGATAATTTAGACAACACTAAAAAAAAAACACTCTTTCAGCAAAGCTTAAAACATTACAAAAGGAAAAAGCATTTAACAAACAAGAAACACAGGACCCACAGCTAATTACCTAAATTTAGAGAAAAAGCTTTACAAATTGATTTTTAAAACAGAGAGCAAACTCACAAAAAACAAACAACAAGAAACATCAATGAACAAAAGAGGGCACTTTATAAGAAAAGAAACAAATAGCTAGTCAGCATATGAAAAAGTCTTAACTTTCCTGACCCTGAAACAAATACAAATTAAAAACAAACACAAATTACATAAAAACATAATGATACATAATTATATTAAAACATGATAATTTTAAAATGGGGAATAACTTAAATATCACTCAGATGTTTTAAGTCATGGTATATCTAAATAGTGTAATAATGTACAGCCCAGCCAATTAAAAAATTTGACTAGATCCGGGTAATATGAAACATTTTATCACTTAACCAAATATTTAAATCATTTTAAAGAGTGATAAGAACCATAAAGCGAAAAGGTGCTAATGGTAGATTATTTCTAGCTATAAACATTCAAAAAAGGTGACTCTTAGAGAGTAAAGAGATTTTAAAGAAAATTGGAGAGAAAAGAAGGAAATTGTATTTCACACTTTTACAAAAGCCATTCTTACAGGTGTGAGGTAATATTTCATTGTGGTTGTAACTTGTGTTTCTCTTTTGATTAGTGATGTTAAGCATTTTTTTTCCATTACCTGCTAGCCATTTGTGTCTTCCTTTGAGAAATGTCTGTGCAGGTTATTTGACCATTTCCTAATTTTTTTTATATTAAGTTCCATATATATTTCGGATCTTAACTCCAAATCAGATGTATGATTTGCAATATTTTCTCCCATTCTGTAGGTTGTCTCTTGACTCTGTTGATTGTTTCTGTCAAGCTTTTTAGTTTGATGTTATCTCACTTGTCTATTTAGGTCATATTTTCAGGTCATATTTTAAAAAATATTTTGCCAAGACCAATGTCAAAGAAGCTTTCCCTCTATGTTTTCTTCCAGTCGTTTTATACTTTCAGGTCTTGTGTTTAAGTCTTTAACCCATTTTTAAGCTGATTTTTGTATATGGGGTGAGATAAGGCCCAATTTCATTTTTCTACATGTGGATATTCCATTTTCCTGGCACCACTTATTTGAGATTGCTTTCTCCATTATGTGACCTTGGCACCTTTGTCACAGATCAGTTGACATAAATTGTCTTTTTGTAGTTTAAAATGAATTATAAATTTTAAAAGCTTATATATATTTGGCATTTTCCTTTACCTCTTTTTTGCCATATGTGTATACATATATATATAATTTTTTTTTTAAGACAGGTCTTGCTTTGTACCCAGGCTGGAGTGTAGTGCGCCATCTCTGCTCACTGCAACCTCCATCTCCTGGGCTCAAGTGATTCTCCCACCTCAGCCTCCCTAATAGCTGGAGCTACAGGCACCACCATGCCCAGCTAATTTTTGTATTTTTTGTAGACTTGGAGTTTCGCCATGTGGCCCACGCTGGTCTTGAGCTCTTGGGCTCAAGGGATCCTCCCGCCTCAGTCTCCCAATGTGATTACATAGACTTAAGCCACAGTGCCCAGCAATTGCCAGATATTTTTTATTGCTATTTTAAGCAAACTAATTTGTGGCACTCAAACACCAGATGAATACAACTGATGTTTCAAGAAACTGCCAAACACAAACATTTTCACAGAGGCCATAAATAGCAATGCCAATTAATTTTCTTGCCTTCCGTTTTCCTTTCTTTCTTCCTTCTTCTCTTCTTCTGTCCTTTCTTCCTTCTTTTCCTCCCTACTCATTTTTCCATTCTTTTTTTCTTTTTCTTCCTTCCTTCTTTTCTTCCAACAAATTGGCCAATACTGCATGGCAGTCACAATTCCAGGTAAAGTGAATAGAGAAGTAAACAAGATAAGGCTTCCAACCTCCTACTGCTCACATTCTAATGTGAGAAAATACAAATAAATAGTACAAAGTATTCCAAATAAAACATTTTTTTAAATGTAACATGAAATAGGCATTTTTAGATAAACAAAAGCTGAAAGAACCTGTTGCCAGCAGACCTGTGAGAAATAAATTTCATAGTTTATAAGCCACCCAGTTTATTGTATTTTGTTGTAGCGGCCCAAGCTAGCTAAGACATATGCTGTGTTAATGGATTTGAAGACTCAATGATGAAAAGGTGTCAATTACTCCCCAAATTAACGTGTGATACAAGTCTAATCAGAAATCTAACTAGGCCTTTATGTAGAAATTGACAAGCTGATTCTAGAATATACAGGGAAATGCAAAAAATCTAAAATATCTTTGAAAAAGAGGAAGATAGTTGGAGAACATTCACTATCTTACTTCAAGACTTATTACAAAGCTACAGTACAGCAACAAGAAAGTTACAGACAAATAAGGACAGAGATATAGTTCAATAAAACAGCAGAGTCCAAAAATAGATGTGTATACGTACAGGTCTATTTTTTATTCAACAAAAGATCGAGGGAATTTAATATGAAAAAAAGGTTTTTCAGCAAGTAGCATTGCAACAACTGGATAAATGTATGAAAGAAACATGAATCCTGACCCCTGTCTCAAATAATACACAAAAATTAAATAAAGATGAATCATAGACCTAAATGTAAAAGCTAAAGTCTTAAAATTCTAGAGGAAAATATAACAGAATATCCTTATGGCCTTGGGGTAGGCAATGGTTTCTTAAAGAGAAAATAGGGCCAGGCACGGTGGCTCACGCCTGTAATCCCAGCACTTTGTGAGGCCAAGGAGGGTGGATCACTTGATGTCAGAGGTTCAAGATCAGCCTGGCCAACATGATAAAACCCCGTCTCTATTAAAAATACAAAAACTAGCTGGGCAAGGTGGCGGGCACCTGTAATCCCAGTTACTCGGGAAGCTGAGGCAGAAAAATTGTTTGAACCTCGGAGGCGGACGTTGCAGTGAGACAAGATCGCTCCATCGCATTCCACCCTGGGTAACAGAGCTAGCTTCTGTCTCAAAAAGAAAGAAAGAAAGAAAGAAAATGGTAAGCACCAACCATAAAAGACAAAAGAAAAAAGAAAGAAAAAAAAAGAAAAATTTGATTTCAGCAAAATTAAACCTAACAACCCAGCTTTAATAAGATAAAAATACAAGGCTCAGACTAGAAGAAATATTTGTTATATATATATAAATGATAAAGGACTTATATTCAGAATATATGAAGAACTACTAAAACTCACTTAAATGACAAATACATAAGAAAGAAAAACTTGAACAGACCTTTCACAAAAGAAAATATATGAATGGCCATAAAGCACATAAAAATCTCAAAATTATTTATTGTCAGATAAATGAAAATTAAACCTTCAATAAGATACCACTTCACACCCTCTAAAATAGCTACATTTAAAATACTGGTAATACCATGTTGTCAAGATAGTGGAGCAACCTGAATGCTCAAATATTGATGATGGTGAGAGTGTAAAATGGTACAAGCATTTCAGAATACAGTTGAGCATTTTATTATATGCTACATTTATCATACGGTCAGTGAATTTCACTCTTAAGGATTTATCTAATTGCCCCAAAACACTTGTACTTGAAAGTTTATAATAGCTTTACTCATAGCAAAAAGTAGGAAACAATCCAAATGTCTATCAACAGGAGAATGGATAAACATATTACAGTATATTCATAAAATGGAATTCTAATCAGAAATTGACAAAAACATGACTAATAATGCATATAACAACCTGGATGAATCTCAAAAACATTATAATGAGTAAAAAAGCCAGATGTGCAAAGATACATACTGTACGATTCTATTTATGTGAAATTTAATAACAGATACAATAAATCTGTGGTGTTAGAAATTGGAATGGTGGTTGCACATAATGGGTGGAATTTGACTGAAATGAATGGACACAGGAGATCAAGGTGTTGGTTACATGGGCAGATAGGTTTGTCAAAACTCACTTAAAATCTGTGCATATCATTGTATGTAAATTTTACTTCAATTTTAAAAAGAGAACAATAGCAATAAAAACATTTAGGAGATGATTGCAAAAATCCAAGTAAGAGAGGACCATGGTAGCAATGGAAGTGGTGAAGTAGTTGGCTGTGAAACATGTTTTGGAGTGTACAGATAAGACTTATCTATGGATTGGATGTCAGGAAGGAGGAAAAGAAAAGATTCACAGATAAGAAAGTTGACAGGTGTCATCTTCCCTGAGAAGCTTTCTCAAAGCACGGCTCATCATCTCCTCCAACAATCGTTCTACATTTTCCTCTTTTCGCCTTTGTTAAAGGAGGGTATTTCCTGAGTTGGAAATTTAGTGCTGGTCTTCGACCGAGTATCTGTTCCTTGCCCTTCTCCAGCTCTGCTCTTTGTGACACCGGGAAGGAAAGAGTTGCTCCTCCCTCTAGACTGTGTGTCCCAGGCTACCTCATCACAAGGCTTCTGGTTAGGTCTGGCCAATGGAAAAAAATCATAGGAAGATTAAAACATATGAGGCAGAGAGAGAAGTCAGGATTATTTCTCTTCCTGTCTCTCTGTGGAAGCATTTCTCATTACGGTTACGCCTCCCTCAGGGCCTCAGTTTGCATGAAGTGACTTCCACTCCTGGGCTCCCATAACACAGCACCACCACTTTGGTCCTTCAGCCTTGTAGTGGCTTCCTGTTGTTGCTCATACTTGGGTTGCCTCAGGGTCTCCTGACAGGTTTTCAGGATTTCTATCACTTGTATGCCCAACTTCCTGCACTGGCTTCCCTCCATTTAAAAATCATAGTATGATTTCAGTTTCCCGGGTTCAATCCTAATAGTCAAGGGGAAAAAACAGAGTTAACTTAGGGAACTGCAAACCCTTAAGACTAGGTCTGGTTATGATCTTACTATTGTGGTTTGGTTCACGTTCACAATATATACTTGTAGGAAACATCAAATTAATAATAATAATAATAACAGCAACTTTGCCTTACAGAATGTTTTACGAGACCTTTTATTATCTAATTTTTCCCCTTAACATGTGCAGTAATTAGCTTAGTGCTTCTCTCAGAAGAAATAAATGTTAGATATTATTATCACTTATAAAGTTTCTTGGATTTACTAGTCCTCAATAAACTGTCCTCTGAAATCTTGAATCCTGAAGAAAATACATTCATAATGAACCTCAGGCTTAGGGATTCATACATAAACAATTATATTAAGAATATGATTTAATGAACCTCATGTAAGAAAGACAGAAATGTTTCCTAATGGACTAAAAATGTGTGGTTGTTTAAAAATATGTCTAAAAGTTTGGAATGATGAAGAGTTCTGGAAACGGAGAGTGGTGATGGCTGTATAATATTGTGAATGTACTTAATGCCACTGAATTGTGAATTTAAAAATGGCTTAAATAATAAATAATATTATATTTTTACCACAATAAAAAAGCAAAAACAAAAAACACTAAAGAAAGTAAATATGGGGTTTAGAGGTATCTGATGAAGTGCATTTTTAAAGGTTATAATTTTAAAATATGTGTATAAATGTGTGTTAGTCTAGTGTTCTTAATTTCAGAGCATAATACAAAGAAAATGTAAAGGAAAATGAGGCATAGTTTATTTCTTTTCCACTTCTACCATCTGTTCACATTAGTCACAAAGAAACACCCTTATAAAATTCATTAAACTACTGAGGTATAATTCAATGTGGTAATGTCTTCAACACAATGTACACAATCGCCAAATGACTATGGCAATGACATCATTGTAATGGTCATAATTACATGACAATTCAGATATTTGATCATTCAAAACATCAGTAAAATAACTATTCTTCTTTTTTGTCAGCCTCTAAATACCTCTATTCATTCTTTATTCAAGAATCTGTGGCTTTCAGAGAGGAGAAAGAAACCCAATCCAGCAATGGGAGAGACAAAGCTAGGGGGAGGGGAATAGGGTTTGGAGGGGCAGGCAGGAAAAACACCGCACCACGCACTTGGAGAGTGGAGGGAGGGAGGGAGATGAAGCCAGCCTAATTATCGGAGAGTGAAAGGTCATCAAAATCAATTTGCAGCATGATGTACAAAGGTCATTATCAGACTCAGATTTTCTCTGCCCGTTTAAAACACAATAAAAATGAAGTGAGTGCTTTAATAACTATGATTAGTAAAGAAAAAAGCATATCATTGAGCCATCTGTTTAAATATTTGTGCTACCTTAGTTTTACTCAAAACAGCATGAAAGATGAGCAGGAAGGCATTTTTTTTTTCTATTTGTTTGCTTTTAAAATCCTGACATTTTCTCCGCTGGTTGCCGAGATTTATAACACAGATGAAAGAGCTCCTCTAAAATTACTGCCCTTTGAAATCAATAGCACGGTATTTGTAATGACTTTCTTTTTATTATAGAGCACTTCATTATTATTTTTATTATAATTTTATGGGACAGTCTGGAACAGAATTCATCATTCACTTATTTGAAGTATCTCACTTACTCAATGGCACAGATGGCCTGATCTGAGGAGGAGATTTAATCACCCCGTGTTAGGCCTGCCTGGATGCTAAATAAATGCAAACCATGAGAGAGACAGGAAGCAACGTGCAATGATAACATTATCTTAGTCTCCATTAAAAACTCTGTGGAAACTAATTCATTGGGGAACTTTGGAAGTTCGAATTATAAAGCTGGATTTTTTTATTTTGTTCTTATTTTTCCTGTAAAAATTAATATAATACTATGACATTATAGCGCAGGACTTCTGAAGTTTTTCAATTGTGTCTATCAGTAAAAAGTACATTTTACATTAGGACTCAGTACATGTGCACACATGCATACACATGTACACACACACATACACGCACATACACTGAAACAAACATTTTAAGAAGCAGTATTTGCTATTATTATATATGATGCACGATGTTATTTTCCAATCTAATTTATTTTTTTTAATGCTAGTCGTGATCCACTAAACTGTTTTAACAAATGGATCTGGACTCTCCATTTGAGAAATAGATTCAGGAGGTCCTGTGTTTTAAATGAAATATGTCTGTGAGTGCTTAGTGTAATATCTGGCACATAGTAAACATTCCACATTTACAGCAGTTTTTATGAGAAATGTCTTGAACAGATTTTGCAACTTACCACAGTTTAAAACAACTAGGAAATGCTCTATCTATAAAGGTAACATCTCTGATTTTTTTTTCTATTCATATTGCTCTAGCCTTGATTCAACCACCTGTTTCTAAAAAAACTGACCAATTATTGATTTTACGTTGTGGACCTATATTGGTAGACAAGAAAAACACAAACATGAGGAAAAAATATCAGTGAAAGAATGAGGTTTCCTTTCTATCCTCAGCCTTTCGCTTCACTTACTATTTAGCTTTTGTCTATATTATACAACATAGGCAAAAAGGTAATAGTATGAATTCTGTAAAATCCCATCATTTTAAAGAGTCAATAAACTGTGACCACAAAGAAGAAAGAAAAGAAAGGGGCAAAATGAGGACTTCTCTAACTTCTATGTATCATGTCATGCATGTACTTTCCATAAGCCTAGAAGGAGACTTTTGAAATTCTTTAGCTAACTGAAGTATTTTCACACTTATTCAATCAATAAATATATATTTATTGTAAACCTGTATTTCTACCTTACGAGAGTGTAAGTTTTATTTTTTTGTGGCTTAGTGAAATTACCCTTTCTTAAATATTAAATTTTATGCCTCTCCTGTGATGAACTAGCCACAAATCAAGAAATATATAAACATGTTAAGAAATTTTCTGAAACTTGTTCTTTTAGTTAAGAGTGAGAATCTGAAAATCACACCAGCATGCAATTTGAAGCTAGACTGAGACAACATTAATCTGTATTAGCCACAGATTGAGGGAGGGACCTGGGAACCATGCAAAATGCACTTGTAGAGAAATAATTACCAAACATCAAGAAGTGATGAAAGTCAAATAGGAAAGGCAAGAAAAGATAGCTTTCTATATACACTGGTGTTGTTTCCATCCAGAGGATGAAAAGATGAGAATTTTTCATTGTGCCCCTTAATATTCAGTATTCAATGAAAGCTGAACATTAGTTGTTTAGCTTTGCTATAGCCATAGACCTGTGAGATGTGTACTTTGCACTAACCTTTGTAATGGCAAGAAAGCAATAACTAAAATTATGAATGGGCCTGAAAAGATAATGGGGCCCGGCAGAAGCATGCTGTGTGTAATGCAGGAGTTTGAGTTCATATTCAGGAATGTGGCATCAGTGGGAACACACAAATTCAGATATGAAGGGAAAATGTCAAACATTTTTCTCATTTGCTTTCATTGTTTAGCCCTATTTTTGCCAAAAGTGGCCATTCTGAAACTCCAATGTTCCATTTTCAAAAATTCACATGAATAGGATTTTCAACATAAACTGGGTTTTATAATACACTACTTGATGAGTGTTGAGGTTGACTGAATTAACGGCTGTTCACGTAGACAGTTTGAATACTGAAGCCCAAGTACAAAGATGAAATAGTCAGAAGCGGAGGCACCCAGAAAAGCACCTCTTCTCCTTCCCCACTCAGTTTATCTAAAGATAGGAATTCTCATTTTAACTGTCCTGTAAATCAGGGTTCCAAGTTAGAAACAGTGAGTGTATGGATGAAAGTGAGCTCTTCTTAGGCTGATTCTAGCCATTCTGCTGTGCTAGCCAACCACCGTGGCTAGTCATTTGGTCACAAAATGCAGGGGTCACATTCAGCAGAAAAGTTTGGGCTAAGAACAGATATGCATTGTGGTATTATTGGTCTGATGCTAGGCACCTTGATATGGTTTTCCTCTGTGTCCCCACCTAAATCTCATCTCAAATTGTAATCCCCACATATTGAGGGAGGGACCTGGTGGGAGGTGATTGGATCATGGAGGTTGTTTCCCCCATGCTGCTCTCGTGACAGTGAGGGAGTTCTCATAAGATCTGGTTGTTTGATAAGTGTGTGGCAGTTTCCCCTGTGCTCTCTCTTTCTCTCCTGCTGCCATGTAAGATGTGCCTTGCTTCCCCTTTGCCTTCTGCCGTGATTGTAAGTTTCCTGAGGCCTCCCCAGCCATGTGGAACTGTGAGTCAATTAAACCCCTTTTCTTCATAAATTATCCAGTCTCAGGTAGTTCTTTATAGCAGTGTGAAAATGGACTAATACAGATAATTGGTACCAGAATAGTGGCATACTCCTATAAAAATAACCTGAAAATGTGGAAACAACTTTGGAACTGGGTAACAGGCAGAGGTTGGAACAGTTTGGAGTGCTCAGAAACAGACAGAAAGATGTGGGAAAGTTTGGAACTCCTAGATACTTGTTGAAAGGTTTTGACCAAAATGCTGATAGTGATATGGACAATGAAGTCCAGGCTGAGGTGGTCTCAGATGGAGATAAGGAACTTGTTGGGAACTGGAATAAAAGTGACTCTTGCTATACTTTAGCAAAGAGACTGGTGGCATTTTGCCCCCTGCCCTAGAGATGTGTGGAACTTTGAACTTGAGAGAGATGATTTAGAGTACCTGGCAGAAGAAATTTCTAAGCAGCAAAGCATTCAAGAGGTGACCTGATTTTTCCTGAAAGCATACAGTTATATACACTCACAAAGAGATGGTTTGAAATTGAAACTTATGATTAAAGGGGAAGCAGAGTGTAAAAGGTTGGAAAATTTGCAGCCTAACCATGTGGTAGAAAAGAAAAGCCCATTTTGGGGGGAAAAATTTAAGCCAGCTGCAGAAATTTGCATAAGTTAAAAGGAGCCAAATGTTAATAGCCAAGACAATGGGGAAAAATGTCTCCAGGGCATGTCAAAGACCTTCATGGCAGCCCCTCCCATCACAGGCCTGGAGGTCTAAGAGAGGAAAATGGTTTCATGATCCGGGCCCAGGATCCCACTGCTCTGTGCAGCCTTGGGATGTGGTGCTCTATGTCCCAGCTGCTCCAGCTCCTGCCTGGCTAAAATGTGCCAACGTACAGCTCAGGCCATTGCTTCAGAGAGTGCAAGCCCCAAACCTTGGCAGCTTCCACATGGTGTTTGGCCTGCGGGTGCACAGAAGACAAGAGTTGAGCTTTGGGAGCTTCTGCCGAGATTTCAGAGGAGGTATGGATTGGATGTCCAGGCAGAAGTCTGCAGCAGGGGCAGAGTCCTCATAGAGAACCTCTGCTAGGGCAGTGCAGAAGGAAAATGTGGGATTGGAGCCCCCACACAGAGTCCCCACTGGGGCACTGCCTAGTGGAAGAGGGCCACCATCCCCCAGACTCCAGAATAGTAGATCCATTAACAGCTTGCACCATGTACCTGGAAAAACAGCAAGCACTAAACACCAGTCCCTGAAAGCAGCCAAAGGGGTTGTACCCTGTAGAGCCACAGGGATAGAGCTGCCCAAGGCCTTGGAAGCCCATCCCTTGCATCAGCATGCCCTGGATGTGAGACATATAGTCAAAAGAGATTTTGGAGTTTTAAGAACCCTGGCTGGGTTTCACACTTGCATGGGGCCTGCAGGCCCTTTGTTTTGGCCAATTGCTCCCTTTTCAATAGGAACATTTATCATGTGAATGTACCCCCATTTTATCTTGGAAGTAACTAACTCGTTTCTGATTTAGAGTCTCATAGGCAAATCCTGTACCCCCATTTTATCTTGGAAGTAACTAATTTGTTTCTGATTTTAGAGGCTCATAGGCAAAAGGGACTTGCTTTGTCTCAGATAAGACTTTGGACTAGGACATTTGAGTTAATGTTGGAATGAGTTAAGACCTTGGGGGACTGTTGGGAAGGAATGAGATTGGTTTTGAAATATGAAAAGGACATGAGATTTGGGAGGGGCCGGGGCAGAATGATGTGGTTTGGCTCTGCATCCCCACTCAAATCTCATCTCTAACTGTAACCCCCACATATCAAGGCAGGGAACTGGTGATTGGATCATGGTGGCAGTTTCCCCCATGCTGCTGTCATGATAGTGAGGGAGTTCTCAGAAGATCTTGTTGAGTTTCCCCTGCACATTCTCTCTTTCTACCAATGCCATGTAAGATGTACCTTTCTTCCCTTTCCCCTTCTGCCATGATTGTAACCCCTTCACCTTCTGCCATGATTGTAAGTTTCCTGAGGCCTTCCCAGCCATGTGAAACTTTGAGTGAATTAAATCTTTTTTAAAAAAATAAATTTCCCAGTCTCAGGTAGTATCTTTATAGCAGTGTGAAAATGGACTAATACGTACCTGTACTCTGGAAAAAAACAGTCTAGGTTTGAATCTTGGCAGTGTTCATTATAGTTGTATACAATGACCAAATCTTGACTTCATCATCAGAAAAATGGGAATATAATATCTCTCAAGGTTGTTGGGAGAATTAAATGAGATATTCCAGATAAATCCTTGAATCACAAACAGGACATAGTAAGCCTATAATAAATATGTTGTATCTTTTTGATCACAACCAAAATTTTTAATTATTAGTGTCTTTTTATTATACTTTCTAGGCTTCTTGATGTAAGAGAGAGGAGGATAATTTCAGATTGTCTAGCTTTCATTTGTGTCTTCTGCGGATGGGGAGAGACCCAGACATACCAGATCATAGATTCTCTGACTTTCCAACTCTTAAAAAATGTAATCTTAGTTTCTTAAACAATCCTCCAGTTACACATTCAGAGAATCTTGGAATATATTACACATATTCCTGGAATGTGTTATACAAGATATCCAGAATGGAATTTTGAATAATATGACTCAGACTAGGAAATGTGAGGACAAAAATTCATGAGCTGTTTAGTGATTCACTAACACTACTAGTTTGTTCTTATAGTTATGATTCCATGTCATTGGTAGGCATGAATAACTGGACACAAATAATACCAATAGTGAGATGTTTTAAGTATCTACTACTGTATCACAAGCCATCCCAAAATGTAGTTACTTAAAACAATGACTATATTATCTCTCATGACACTGCAAGTTGGCTAGGCTCAGTCAGTTCTTCTGCTCCATGTGATACTCCCTGGGGCTGCAGTCACTGGGGGGGGTTCAACCTGGACATCCAGAACATCCAAAATGGCTTACAGTTGGTTCTGACTGTCCACTAGGAGCTTAATTAGGGCTGCCAACTGGAGCACCTCTGTTCTCCTCTACGTGGTCTTTCCATATGATCTGGGATCCTCACAGCATGGTGACTGCGTTCCAAAAGGCCAAAAGTAGAAACTTCCATTCCTCTTAAAGCCTGGACTTCAAGGTCTCAGAACATCATTTCTTCTTCTGAAATTGCTATTCTCGTGGTCATATTCAGTTATAAGTCAGAATTCAAAGAGAAGGAAAGTGAGCTCTACCTTTTGATCTGAGAAACGGTATGTACAGACAGGGAGGAGAATAAACTTACAAGATAGATATTATGTAAGCTTCATCTGGTACTTTTTAATTTTTTACCCCATTAGATCAGAGGTTGGCAAACTATGGCCTGTGAGCCAAATCCAGCTGAATGCCTGTTTTATAAATAAAATTTTATTGGAATACACATTTGTTTGTTTACATATTGACTGTAGCAGCTTTCAGGCTACAATGGCAGAGTAGAGTGGTTGTGACAGACTTTGTGGCCAGCAAAACCTAAAATATGTATTATCTGGCTATTTTCAGAAGTTTGCCAACCCCTGAGTTAGACTATTAGCTAGTTCTTGCAAGCAGGTAATACACACATACACACACACATACACAAAGAGACAGAGAGAGAGAGAGAGAGAGTGAGTCACTGACTTAACAATGGTTTGACTTACAATGTTTCAACTTTACAATGGTAAGCAGGTGATATATGCTCAGTAGAAACCATACTTCAAGTACCCATACAACTATTGTGTTTTTCACTTTCAGTATAATATTCAATAAATTAAATGAGTTATTCAAACTCTATTATAAAGTAGGTTTCTGTTAGATGATTCTGTTCAACTATAGTCTAATGTAGCTGCTCTGAGCCTACTGAAGTTAGGCTAGGTTAAGCTATAATGTTTAGTAGTTTGGTTGTATTAAATAAATGCATTTCAAGTTGATATTGTCAGCTTACAATGGCTTTACCAGGATTTAACTTCATTGTAAGTCAAGGAGCATCTGTGTCTGAGGGCGTGTGTGTGTGTGTGTCTGTGTGTGTGTGTGCATTTTTTCTTAAATCTGCGAACAGTACACCTGCCCACCAGAATTGTTCAGCAAATTAATACTCTAATGTATTTTTTGATATAGGCAGCTATTTTTGACTACTTGGTAGTAATTATTCAAATAATATATTTGTGTAATTTTTATTAAAATCATAAGACTATTCTTGTACTGTAGTTCATCATATTTACTTGTGCTTCAACCTGCTGAAGTTTTGCTAAGTGAATTTCCGTGCAAAGCAAGTAATCAAAATTCACATTTCAAATGAATCTTCATGGAAGTGTAAGTCATGGTAAAAATGGGGGAAATGTTATATATACAATGTATCAGCTTGTATCTTTAATATAGTTACAATGACTTTAAGAGGATATAGCATCACATTTTTGAAATTCTTTTGTAAAAGCTGTTTTTATTCCAAATAGCCTTTCTCTTTCTAAATTGAGCAAACTGTCATCAGAATCTT
This sequence comes from Homo sapiens, assembly GCF_000001405.40. Lineage (NCBI taxonomy): Eukaryota > Metazoa > Chordata > Mammalia > Primates > Hominidae > Homo > Homo sapiens. The sequence continues at coordinate 30,602 of NT_187549.1, read as the reverse complement.
GCAGTGGTTTAAATTTCTGATATATTTCCCTGGAGAGCAACATAATCTTGACTTATGGAGATGTGTATTTATGAGTGTTTACTATATACTCACGAGTATTAATTAGGTTGTTTTTAATAGTCTCAAACATAACTAAAATATTTGCAAGACTCTTTATTATATGTGGTGGGAGAATATAAAGATACGTACTCCACGAATCTCAAATGTATTACCTAGGTTAGGACTTCCCATACTCCCCTAATCATAAGAATTCTGGCCGGGCGCAGTGGCTCATACCTGTATTCCCAGCACTTTGAGAGGCCGAGACGGGTGGATCACCTGAGGTCAAGAGTTCAAGACCAGCCTGGCCAACATGGTGAAACCCTATCTCTAGTAAAAATGCAAAAATTGGCCAGACGTGGTGGCATGTGCCTGTAGTCCCAGCTACTTGGGAGGCTGAGGCAGGGGAATTGCTTGAACCCAGAAGGTGGAGGTTGCAGTGAGCTGAGATTGCACCATGGCACTCCAGCCTGGGTGACAGAGTAAGACTCCATCTCCAAAAAAAAAAAAAAAAAAAAAAAAAAGAATTCCCAGAGGTGATCATTAAACATGGAGATCATCAATTTACACATAAGATTATTATTCAGAAGGTCCAGGTTGAGGCTTGAGAATTTGTTTGTTTAGCAAATACCTCATATGAGTCTTCCATCAATGAAGCTGGAGAAAGATGGATATGGGTGATTCCTGAATATTTATTATTATTGGGAAGCTTGTTGATATGAAGCGTTTAGAAAGCTGTTATACATAAAATGGGTGCTATTCACAGTAGTTACCAGTCACTAAGTCAACTCTTGGTAGTAGGATATAATTTAGTCAGAATAAATAACTTGAGCAGTTATAAATATACTACTTAATACAAGCATGGTCTGAAAGAATTACAACCCCTTCAAGGATGTTTAATATTTTACCAAAAGATTACTTCGACACCAGAGAAAATTGTAGACTTATTTAGGGAGTTGGAGAAAAACATTTTGATAAATATTATTTATATTTAGGTTTCGTGGTCAAACTTTCTGATCTTAATTTAACTACAACATAAAAATTATTCATCAATATTTTAAATGCAATTCTAATAATAAAGTGTGTATCATTTCATCAATTGGGTATTTAGGTTTGAATTGTCAATAACATTCATGTGGTGCACATCATTTTTGAGACATTCACCCTATTGTCCTTTTATATTATTTATTCTCTACCTACCTTCACACAATTTCTTTTCTAGGGTTTAGTCATTAATTTGCTCTCTATACATGTCTGTTAGCTAGATATGAAAACTTGAAAACTTTTTTTAATTGTTGTGCTCTTGAAATCTAACTACTCATTTCTATACACAAATAATTTTCAAGCTGAGAACCAAATCAGGAACTCAATTACATTTACAATAGCCAAGATAAAAATAAAATGTCTAGGAATAAATTCAACCAAAGAGGTAAGTTATCTCTACAAGGAGAGCTACAAAACACTGATGAAAGAAATTATAGATGACACAAACAGATGGAAGAACATCACATTCTCACAAATCAGAAGAATCAATATTTCTTAAATGATCATACTGCCCAAAGAAATCTATAGATTCAATGAAATTCCTATCAAACTACCAATATTATTCTTCACAGAATTAGAAAAAAATTCCTAAAGTTCATATGAAACCAAAAAACAAAACAAAACAAAACAAAAGCCCAGTAGCCAAAGCAATCCTAAACAAAAAGAATGAAGCCAGAGGCATCACAGTACCCAACTTCAAATTATAGTACAAGGCTATAATAACTAAAACAGCATGGTACTGGTACAAAAATAGACACATAGGTGAATGGAACAGAATAGAGAACCTAGAAATAAAACCATATACTTCCAACGAACTGATCTTTGACAAAGCCAACAAAAATAAACAGTGGGGAAAAATGGCTAGCCACATGCAGAAGAATGAAACTGGACCTCTATTTCTCACGATATACAAAAATTAACTCAAGATGGATTAAAGACTTAAATTTTAAAACCTGAGACTATAAAAGTCCTAAGAAAAACTCTTCTGGCCTAGGCAAAGTATTTATGACTAAGACCCCCAAAGAAAATTCAACAAAAAACAATAACAGACAAATGGGACATAATTAAATTTTCAAAAGTTCTGCACAGCTAAAGAAGTAACAGGATAAATGGACAATCTAGAGAATGGGAGAAAATATTTGCAAATTATGCTTCAACAAAGGGTTAATAGCCAGAATCTACAACAAACTCAAACATTTCAACAAGAAAAAAAAAAAACCCTATTAAAAAGTGGGCAAAGAACATGAACAGAATTTCTGAGAGGAAGACTGAGAAAGACCTTTCCCAGAGGAAGACATACAAGTAGCCAAGAAACATTTAAAAGGCTCAACATCACTAATCATCAGAGAAATGGGATATCAACTTATACCAGTCAGAATGACTATTATCAAAAAGTCAAAAAACAACAGACGTTAGTGTGGATACTGAGAAAAGGGTATGCTTATACACCGTTGGTAGGAATGTTAATTAGTAACACCTCTACAGAAAACAGTAAAGAGATTTCTCAAAGAAGTAAAAATAAAACTACCATTATACCCAGCAATCCCATTGCTGGCTATCTACTAAAAGGAACAGAAATCTTCCAGGCACGGTGGCTCATGCCTATATTCCCAGCACTTTCAGAGGCCAAGGCAGGCGGACCACGAGGTCAGAAGATCAAGACCAGCCTGGCTAACATGGTGAAACCCTGTCTCTACTAAAAAAATACAAAAAATTAGCTAGGCGTGGTGGCAGACGCCTGTAGTTCCAGCTACTTGGAGGCTGAGGCAGGAGAATGGCATGAACCCAGGAGGCAGAGCTGGCAGTAAGCCAAGATCGCGCCACTGCACTCCAGCTTGGGTGACAGAGCGAGACTCCATCTAAAAAAAAAAAAGAACAGAGCTCATTATATTAAAAATATGCCTGAGCTAGTATTGCAGCACTATTCACAATAACAACAAAAAAAGGAACAGAAATCATTATATTAAAAATACACCCACTAGTCACAATAGCAAAGACACAGAATCAACCCAAGTGTCCATCGACAGTTGATTAAACTAAATGTGGTATGTATACACCACGGGATACTATGCAGCCATGAAAAAGAACAAAATCATGTCCTTTGCAGCAACATGAATGGAGCTGGAGGCTATCATCCTAAGTGAGTTAACTCAGAAACAGACAATCAAATACTACATCTTCTCATTTATAAAGTGTGAGCTACATGGATAGGAAGAATCAATATCATGAAAATGGCCATACTGCCCAAGGTAATTTATAGATTCAATGCCATCCCCATCAAGCTACCAAAGACTTTCTTCACAGAATTAGAAAAAAGTACTTTAAAGTTCACTTGTAACCAAAAAAGAGCCTGCATTGCCAAGACAATCCTAAGCCAAAAGAGCAAAGCTGGAGGCATCATGCTACCTGACTTCAAACTATACTACAAGGCTGCAGTAACCAAAACAGCATGGTAATGGTACCAGTACCAAAGCAGACATATAGACCAATGGAACAGAACAGAGCCCTCAGAAATAATACCACACATCTACAACCATCTGATCTTTGACAAAGCTGACAAAAACAAGAAATGGGGAAAGGATTCCCTATTTAATAAATGGTGCTGGGAAAACTGGCTAGCCCTAAGTAGAAAGCTGAAACTGGATCCCTTCCTTACACCTTACACAAAAATTAATTCAAGATGGATTAAAGACTTACATGTTAGACCTAAAACCATTAAAACCCTAGAAGAAAACCTAGGCAATGCCATTCAGGATATAGGCATGGGCAAGGACTTCATGTCTGAAACACCAAAAACAATGGCAACAAAAGCCAAAATTGACAAACGGGATCTAATTAAACTAAAGAGCTTTTGCACAGCAAAAGAAACTACCATCAGAGTGAACAGGCAACCTAAGAATGGGAGAAAATTTTTGCAACCTACTCATCTGACAAAGGGCTAATATCCAGAATCTACAAAGAACTCAAACAAATTTACAAGAAAAAAACAAACAACCCCATTAAAAATTGGGCGAAGGATATGAACAGACACTTCTCAAAAGAAGACATTTATGCAGCCAAAAGACACACGAAAAAATGCTCATCATCACTGGCCATCAGAGAAATACAAGTCAAAACCACAATGAGATACCATCTCACACCAGTTACAATGGCGATCCCTAAAAAGTCAGGAAACAACAGGTGCTGGAGAGGATGTGGAGAAATAGGAACACTTTTACACTGTTGGTGGGACTGTAAACTAGTTCAAGCATTGTGGAAGAGAGTGTGACGATTCCTCAAGGATCTAGAACTAGAAATACCATTTGATCCAGTCATTCTATTACTGGATATATACCCAAAGGATTATAAATCATACTGCTATAAAGACACGTGCACACATATGTTTATTGCGGCACTATTCACAATAGCAAAGACTTGGAACCAACCCAAATGTCCATCAATGATAGACTGGATTAAGAAAATGTGGCACATATACGCCATGGAATACTATGCAGCCATAAAAAAATGATGATGTCATGTCCTTTGTAGGGACATGGATGAAGCTGGAAACCATCATTCTCAGCAACCTATCACAAGGACAAAAAACCAAACACCGCATGTTCTCACTCATAGGTGGGAACTGAACAATGAGAACACTTGGACACAGGAAGGGGAACATCACACACCGGGGCCTGTTGTGGGGTTGGGGGAGGGGGGAGGGATAGCATTAGGAGATAAACCTAATGTAAATGACGAGTTAATGCGTGCAGTACACCAACATGGCACATGTATACATATGTAACAAACCTGCACGTTGTGCACATGTACCCTAGAACATAAAGTATAATAAAAAAAAGTGGGAGCTCAACAATGGAAATATATGGACATAAATATGGAAACAATAGAGACTGGGGATTCCAAAAAGGGGCAGATTGAGAGGGAGGTGAGGGTTGAAAAATTACCTATTGGGTACAAAAGTCGCCGTTTGGGTTATGTGCACACTAGAAGCCCAAACTCCACCATTACACAATATGTTCATGTAACAAACCTGCACATGTACCCAGAGTCTAAAATAAAATTAAATTTACAAAATAAAAATTAGTTACTGTATGAAGAAGCTGAGCTAACCTACAAGGAGAAAATCAAGGTACCCTGTTTAACAGTCCAGCCACTAGCTAGATATGAGCAAGACCATCCAGGACAGCCCCCTCCCATCTACCTGGCAACTGACCATAACTGCATATGTAAACTCAGCCAATTATACGTATGTGTGTATATTATACATACATGTGTGTGTGTATATATATATATAGGCCTTCTCAATGGTCAATCAATTATGACAAAAATAAATGAATATTATATTTTTCCACTAAGTCTTTGGGTATTTCTTTATATCACGATAGACTCCTTACACAGAAATTGTAATCAGAAGTGGAGTGTGCTAAAATAAATACCTGAAGCATTAACAATGGAGCTCCGTGGGTAAAGTCCAGGCAAGGTAAACAGACTATACAGCTCATCCCGTTGAGAGATAGAGCCTCCTTTCCCACCAATTGGACCTGGGCTGTCTTTGTGATTTACATTCATCAATAGTATGTGGCAGAAGTGATATTGTGCAATTTTTGCTCAGGTCTTAGAATGTCTTAATAGTTTCTGCTCTCATCTCCTTAAAATCTAGTGGCCACGTGAGGAAGCCCATGGTAGCCTGCTAGAGAAGCCATGTAGAAAAGAGTAGACTCACTCTGGAAAACAGCTCTAATAACTGCCAAACATACAAATGAGGCCATCTGGGACCAGTCAGTTACCAGCTAATGTAACTGGTAGGACTGCAAATGTATGTATAAGCCTAGCCAACCCCTCTTCGACCAGAGACAAGTCATCCCAGGTAGGCTCTGTGCAAATTATTATTTAGACAACAGTATTTTTCTACATAGCATTAGATAAATAATACAAGGACCAAGACTCAGATTTTGTTCATTGTTGCTCTTTCATAGATATACAACCGACAGCAATGAGCAGTAGAAAGGATTTATACCAGATGTGAATACAAATGAGTAGACTCAGCTGCCCATTACTTTCTTCATTACTTACAGAAAAACACACTCAAAAGTTCTTTGGTCAATGGAGCCCAGAAGGAGTAAATAAATCACCAGTCTTAGGAGTCTTGAGCTGTGGGTTTACTACTCTAGAGGAGGACGTAATACCATAAAAAGAAGTTCTTGATGTACCTGCTTACATATTTCTGTGTTCTATTTCCTTCATCATCATTGGGTCTAAGCGAGTCTGGTCATGTCTTATCAACTATCCATAAACAGTGCTTATTGTTCAGATTAAATTTTCTTTTCCTTTTTTTCTAATTATTTTTTTTGAGAAGGAGTGTCACTCCCGTCATGTAGGCTGGAGGGCAGTGGTGTGATCTCGGTTCACTGCAACCTCCACCTCCCAGGTTCAAGTGATTCTCCTTCCTCAGCCTCCCAAGTAGCTGGGATTACAGGCATGCACCACCACACCTGGCTAATTTTTGTATTTTTAGTAGAGACAGGATTTTGCCATATTGGCCAGGCTGGTCTCTAACTCCTGACCTCAGGTGATCCACCCATCTTGGCCTCCCAAAGTGCTAGGATTACAGGCATGAGCCACTGTGCCTGGCCCAAAATAAATTTTCAAAGTGCCCTCTAGGGAAAATAAATCAATAAAAGATATTTTTACACCTATGAAAATCCACCAACTGGAATACAGGTTCCCATTTGAAGAAAGATAATTGTGGTCAATAAATATTGATAACAAAATATTAATGGCAAAATTTGATGAAAAACTGTGCTTGTTTATAAAAATAGCTCCTTCATAAAAGTTCTAATGAATTGTTTCTACTTTTTAGGTCTAAAATTTCCCCTTTCAAAAACATTCCTAAGAGAAGGCATTGTGAAACCACTGACTTAAAAAGAGAGTGAGAAACTGTTCAAGATACGGAAAAGTAGGCCTGGAAGGATTAAAATCCCTACCTAAGATTGCACAGTTGTCAGTTAAAAAAAAGTCAAAACCCAGCTCTTGATTTTCGGGCCAGTCCCATAACCATTGCTTTATTTGGTCTCCAATGATTATGAGCAAGTGTATACGCACTGGAGACAGGCAGTCACATGACATAGATAATTGTGTGTGTATAGCATCTTTGCTCCTTCATGCTCTTTCCACCTCTGCCCACATCACCACTCTTGGCACATTTTTCATCTTGTCAGCAGTTTAATATTTCTCCAGCTTACTGTTTTAAGATTTGATTCTGCCTGAGGCAAATCAAGTTGGGAGTTAGCAGTTCTCTGACCACAATTAGACATTGAGTCAATATTGTTGTAAAAATACATGGTTCTCCGTTTTGAATAGAGACCGAGCATGTCAGTGTCCTCCCTGCAGAGGGGTGTGTACAGGAGGACCTTCCTGTACATCTGGCTTTTCAAAGGAGGCCACCATGTTGGTTCCCAAATATGTTGCTAGTCCTTCTCAGCTTCTAATACCTACTTGTTGGTGAACAAGTCACCCACCCTTTGAGAACATAACCTGTTTTACGTGAGAAAATAGGAAGGCTATATCATACCCATGACTTCCCTCTGTTGGCACATGGATTTTTATTGTCACAAGTTGCTTCAGAAAAATTTAAAATAATTAATAATACCGGTATACCTCTTATTTCCTCCAGTCCTTTCCTTCTTGCCTTGGCAAAATGGCTTAAAAAGAGATAAAGAACATGCCTCACCAGAAAACAGGGTTTTTTGTACAATAATTTGTGCTGTATGTCACATTATAGTGGTGAGTGTAAATTTATCTTTGAGCCATGTTTTATTAACTTTTTCCCCCAAAGAGTTACATCAAAAGGCTCTATAAATAAATGATGTGCTCAGCCTGCTAGTTCCTACATGCATACCAATTACTTCTATTGGTTTCAAAACACGTAGTCAGTACTTTAAACAACCATGATAATATCACAAACTAAAATATTCAACATCTCCATCTCAGTATGCTGTCACCATGCAGACAACGATTAGAATTGGTAATCAGTTTCACTGCTGGTAAGTTGAGTGGCATGATGCATTTTATATCCATGCTTATGTCAAACTCAATTAACATTCTAATACAGTGTATTTCAAAGACACTGACCTAATCTCAGAGAACAATGCATTTATTTATTCCATGTTAAAAGCTCTTACATTTTATGCAGGATCCTTGAAGCAAAGATATTTATTGTCACAATAATATTTTAAGTTGGAGCTTGTGAAGAAATGCAAAGAAATACACGTAGTTTAAAATTCCTGCTGTTAAGTGATGCATGTCATTACTGTGGAAGAATAAAAGAATCTCTCAAGCTATAATTCTTCAGAATTTGAAAATTATATGAAGATACTGTCACCTAACAAATAGTACATTTCAAATAAGCCTGAGGTATGGAATTTTTTTGTATACTCCAAAAAGAACACTCGAAATTAAATTGTATCACAGTGAAATTTTAGGCTATGCATGTATGTATGTATTTACCTATTTATTTATTTACATGTCAAAGACTCATCAGTTATTAATATATAAGCTAATTAATGGAATAAGATTTATATATGAAATGAAAAAACCCACAGTGTTCTATGTAGGCATACATATGTATGTATGTGCATTATAGCTTGCTTTCTCTATTAACAGCATATTAGCAGTACATCATAAGCTACTCAACAATGTCAGAATAGTTACTTATTCAGAATACTTATGGGTAAATATTCAGGAAGTTTAAAAATCAGTACCAGGTGTGGTGGCTCATGCCTGTAATCCCAGCACTTTGGGAGGCCAAGGTGGGTGGATTGCTTGTGCTCAGGAGTTCAAGACCAGCCTGGGCAACATGGCAAAACCCCGTTTCTACAAAAAATACAAAATTAGCTCAGTGTGGTGGCGTGCACCTGTAATCCCAGCTACTTGGGAGGCTAAAGTAGGAGAATCACTTGAGCCCGGGAGGTTAAGGCTGTGAGCCATGATCACGGCCCTGCACTCCAGCCTGAGCCACAGAGTGAGACCCTGTGTCAAAAAAAAAAAAAAAAAAAAAAAAAAACAGGAGTTTTTCAGAGAAAACTACCAAATGTAACTATATTGATCTAAAGTTTATATCCAGTATCGACTGTTAAATGCTGGTGAAAGGTGTTGCCAACAGGATGGCAGAATATCCAGATTAAAGAAAAATGAATGATGCTGCCAATTATCCATCTGCTTTGTCTCCACAGGGTGAATAGCCATATACTCAAACCATGGGGCTGGTTAGCACAGTATAGACAAAACATCCCAATATTTAAAATTTTTTCAGAGTTAACATTTGTATGGTTGAACATTTTTCACAGATATGGCTCTGGCACAAAATTACCACCGCATTTCTTTGTAAAATTTTTTCATGTATAGTTCACTTGATATTATATTTTTAAAATCGCATCTACTGAAACCCTGTATGTGTAGAAACACATATCAGAGAAAAGCTGGAGGGATGAAAATCAAAATCTTCTGTCTCTCTGAATAAATTTGATTAAACATTTATAGAAAGGAAATGGTAAAACAATACTGAATGTAGGGTTAAAATTTTTTTTCAAACTTGTTTCCCTGGTTGTGTTGGTATTTCGAACCTGGCAATTACAGCCAGAATTCTGTTTCAGGGAAATAAATGGCAATTACAGCCAGAATTCTGTTTCAGGGAAATAAATGTGATCATGTCTTTGGGGTGTACATAGAAAGAATATTTTAGAGAAGGTTGAGGTCAGAGTTCCTTGGCTTTTCTCTATTCTTCTTAAGTTCTTGAAGACCTATGGACATTTACTTTATCATGTTTGGAACGTGAAGTAGCCAATTTCACCAAGTAGGAGACTATAATATAATTAGTAATATTATAATACGACAACCCAGAGGGAAAAAGAAACTCTCTAGCATGATCGCCCCATAATTTTTTTTTCCTCCGAAGTATGGCTACATTAAAGTAAGTTATTTTTGTAAAGATTCATTGCCAGAAGAGAGAGATCTTGATCTGCTTTCTTTATGTGCCCTAAAAAATGCTAATTCTCTGTAAAAAAGATGTATTTAAAATTTAATATGAGGATACAAAAAAAATCTTTGTAATCTGCTACTCTCTGCCAAGAGAAAAAAAAATCTCTTTTTATTTCTTGTTCAGTAGTGACATTTCTGATGAAAGCATTTGTTTCAGGCAATTTATTTTTGCAGCAAGTTTGATTTTTATGTAGCATCGCATGGCTCACTTCAATTGAATCCTTTTTTTTTTTTTTTTTTTTGTCGTTGTGAACAGGTACATCTCCAGAACAAAACTAAGGTCCTACTTGAAACTGAATGCAGGTGTCTTCAACTGTGTGTTTAAAACAAAGAAGATCCAGGACACACTGCTCAAACTGTTAGCATGAATCTAACATAAATCCAAAGCTGTTCTCCTGGCAGAAAAGTAGCACAGCCCTGTGCTGAACCCACTCAAGCAGATTTTATTGATGCAACTGCCTGGGGTACACTGGGCCACTATGTCCATAAAAATAATAATTAAGCTGTGGGATGTATTACACAGCTTAGTACCTGAACTAAGCTCAGAGCATTGATTAATATTTCTATTTATATGTCTTGTTTTTTGTCATTGAGTAAGGTACCTCTAATCTATTTAGCATCTTTCACTTCCATTTTACTTTTATCACCACCTCCAATAAAAGAGAATCAAGAAAGCAATGGAGTTTCCTTTCAATAAAACAATAAGAAGGCCTATCTCCTGAATGTGTTTTTCAGATTGAAATCATTTAGATTTACTTGCATTTTTATTTGACACTGATGAGTTATAGTCATGCTGACTGATTCTGTGAATAGCATGATGGAAATAGAATGTGAATAACACAGCATCTACAGCTGTTTTGTTTTGGTTTGTTTGTTTTGTTTTGTTTTAAGCAGTGCTCACAACTCAACATCCCACAGATCCAAGGGATTCCACTTCCCAGCAGGATTGATGGCAACTTCTCATGGCCACAGAGATCCCTAGGTCTAGAAGCTAGCTCTCCCAGACAACTCCTGTAAATAGCTGTGATGTAAACTCAAACCGCCTGGCACATTCCTACTCTTTTTGTACCCACACTGATAATGATACTCTCATGCCTATCCTGTAAGGATAGAGAACAACTGGAGTAAGTCCCTGTGCACCCAACAGATTGCCTGGGCTGTCTAGAGCACTCAATAAACTGCTGAGAGGGAGGAGACTGTAGGGCTTTTCTCTTCTTCATGATCCTTGCTTACAAATTTCCCTAATAATCCATACTGCACAATACAGTGGAATTTTTTTTCCTGTTTCTGGTGCACAATGTGTAGCAAAGACAAAGAAAGCCACCTTACCTGATAAGTATGGGGCTGCATTCCTTTTGAAGGCTAGGGTGAGGATCCCTAAGTTCAAGTCCAGATTAAGTGCAGGTATAAGGCAGAAAGGGCAGCTAGGAGGCCTTCATGTCACTTCTGAAAGGTGAGAGTGACAGCCAAAATGCAGGCTGACTCATCTACATTGATGATGCCTGGTGTTTCTTAAGAGCAGGCTGGAAGTTACCAGCAGGAGCTTCAAAGAGGAGCTGAAGAGAATGGCAGAAGCCAAATAATAAACTCAGACAAGAGCCTGAGACAGAAAGTCAACAATAAGTAGGCAGGATGATGAGGAAATGAGAACCAGGTAGCAAAATTGTTAGGATCAGGAAATTCTAAGTCATCCAGAAAGCCAGTTCTAATAACAAGGAATCCTTAAGAGCAATGAAAACAAACTAGCAAAACCAGGAATAAATTACCAGAGAGAGAACTTGTTACAGAGTTCTGAGGAGACAGGCAAGAATCATTAACAACTCATTAGCTATTTGCTATAAAGGCAAGAACAAAATTTGCAAGATCCCTAATACCTATTATCTAAAATTGGTTTGCCCATTTCCATCAATCTTTAAGAAAGCCCCAGGGGAAAAAAAAATCTTTAGTGATAAATGATGATATCCCTCAGCTTGGGTGGAAGAATCCCAGATTATGCCCTTGTCCTGGCATAACAGTCAACAGCACTTCCTTTCACTGTAAAGTCCTGGTTTCAAGGACAAACTTTATGGTCACCTTATTTAGAGAGCTCTGATGAAGAAAAAAAGAGAAAGAAATAAGGAGACAGCCACTATCCATTTATGCAACAAATATATATTGACCATCTACTCTCTGGATCAGGCTCTGGTAACGCAGCTGTAAATTAGCCGTATCTGCCCTCCTCACAGAGCCAGCCAAGTAACTGGGAAGAGAAAGAGGCAAAAGAGAAAGTAAATACCAGACACAGCCCAATTAAAATTACTTTAAGAAAAGGTAGCCACCTGGCAATTAGGGACTGATATCAGAAAATAATATAGATATTCCTAAAGCGGGAAACCTAAACAAAATCAAAAGCTATGGAAAATAGGATGCATTACTGACCTTCTGGCCCTAGCAGTGAATTGGACAGCATATCCCCTTCCATCTCCACTCCCAACCTAACAGATATGAGTCAGTAAAAGTTCTCTATACAAGATCTATTTCATCTGTCAATCTGTCCGTCTACACATATTTATTAGTTCCATCAATGCTGAGAACACCGTGCCAGGTTGGCATGCCGTGATGACCAGTGGGCAGACCTTATCCTCACAGAGCTGAATCACCTGAATTCTGAATGCTCACAGCTATCTCAAATACTTACAGACTAGCATTATTGAATACCTAAGAGTCAAACTAAGCATATGTGTTTTTGGAAAATCATTTATATATCTATATATTTTTAAAAATTGATGTAGTAATCATAAAAAAAACAACTTTTTGGGAACTGTAGTATGTATTGGGTTGGTGCAAAAGTAATTGCATTTTTTGCCATTACTTTTAATGGCAAAGACCACAATTACTTTCGCACCAACCTAAATAATATGTTGTACACATTACTCTTGCCCTTATGTTGAAGAACACATCGTATGTTTCGGAGTGAAGGGGCAAGTGCTTACTTTTGTGTTTAAAGACTCAGAATATCTTTATCTAGCCCCAGGAACTGACGTCTTGGCCCAGATTTCCTTCACTAGGATATCCTGCCTGTTTGTTTTTCCTTTCAAAATGACCTCTTAATGCCTAGGTCAGCATCCTTTGCATCCTTATCTCCCACCCAATTGCTGGCTTCTAAGAGATCAAAGAAGGGTTAGGGCTTGGACCTTCAGCACTATAACTGCACTATAACTGCCCCTCCATCCCCTCCTCCACACTGGTCTCATTAGTAGCATCCCAGCCCATCTTTTCACCAACCTCTACCTATGGACCACATACCTTCCCTTTTGGACCAGCATACCCACAATAGCCAAGGTCTGGAGGAGCAGCTGAAATTGAGTTAACTCTTATCATTTAAGCACATCACCATTACTAACTACTATTATTTTTAAAGAATTACTTTGGTAGAATAAACAACAGAGGTTAAACTCTCTATGTACAACTATATTTCTTTCCCAAAAAGAAGGAATTATTTTTTAGTTTAACCTGAGTAAATAACTATATCATAAACTCCAGTTGGTAGGAGAGAAAAAAGTATATATATATATATAAAGAGAGAGAATGAGAATTTCAAATTAAACAACTGATTGACTTCTAAAAGAGGTTTTGGAACCAAACTTGTAAATCATTCATCTCCTTTGGGTTTGATACATTAATCACCAAGCGGGCACCTATCTGTTTTTTTTTTTTTTCTTTTTTCAGAGACAGGATCTCACTCTATCACTTAGGCTGAAGTGTAGCAGTGCTATCACGGCTCACTGCAACGTCCACCTCCCAGGTTCCACCTCCCACCTCAGCCTGCTGAGTAGCTGGGACTACAAGCATATACCACTATGCCTGGCTAACTTTTTTATTTTTATTTTTTAGAGACAGGGTCTTGCTACGTTGCCTAGGCTGGCTTTGAATTCCTGGACTCAAGTAATCCTCCTGCCTCGGCATCCCAAAGTGCTAGAATTACAGGCATAAGCCACAATTTCGTCCCAAACTTCTGATCTTAATTTACTTTCCCCAATGGGAGGAGTAACTTGATGGGTTGACTGAAGTATTCCAAACTAGTAAATAGTTAAAATTTCCAGTGTGTATCAGTAACTTATTGCTGTGGCCTGCTGAAAGTGCCCGAAGATGGTAACTGCTGTGACTCACTTCTCTGAGGACTGATGACAAATCCCCCAAGTAAACTGATTATTGGACGAGGTGCAGAAGTTACCTTGCTTCTCTTCCAAGGTACTCACAACATTCAGGATTTAAAGAGCTACCATATCATTCACATCCAAAGAAAGCCAGTAGTTGATTAAGCTGACTCATCTCAAAACTATAGCTGACATTAATGTAAGAGTGAAACTTGGATGGAATCCAAGAAGAACAAGAAAAAGAATGCAAGTTTTTTCAAGGGTAGAGACCAGTATATATTTATCTCTGCATCCCTATAATTTAACATAATTTTCCTAAACTAATTTATTAGGTTGGTGCAAAATTAATTGCGGTTTTTGCCATCAAAAGCAATAGCAAAAACCACAATTGCTTTTGCACCAACCTACGTTCTAACTGTAGGATTTTTGCCAGTTATTTATCATCTCTCCTATGAACTTAGATATTTTTCTTTAAATAGACATTAAGTTAAATTGTTTATTGTACTTAGCCAAATCCTGTGAATTCCTTCAGAATTTTGTGTGCTTGTTAAATTTTACTCTGTATAAATCAATTATATAGACACATATATTATACGTAAACAATCATTGTAATAAAATCATCACATATGCAATCTGTGAGGCACACAATTACACTTTAAGATACACTGGCTCACCTCGGTGCCTGGAAAGCAGAGTAAAGGCTGACAGATGAAAGGATGACACAATATTCCAACCTCCAGCATCACCAAGCCAACCCTCCCTCTTTCCATGAACCTGGGGCTTATCTGACAGTCCTTGTCAGAACATTGCTCCAGATAACTGCTTTGAATAATCAGAATAGCCAAGAGATAAAACCAACTTGCCTTCCTGACTGTAGCAATTCTCTAGTAGTGCTCAAGTTGTTCAAGGTCTTTGCCAAGTGCTTTATATGGCAGTGGCACTCTTCACCCACCAACAGTCACTTGAGGCTATTCAGAAAATTTTCTGGAGCAGTGATATATTTCACTGATCAGCATACCCCCTGTTTGAAGAATGCATTTGCAAGACAGTTGGTGCAGATTACAGATGTTAGTGATAGACCACGCCCTAAGATTTTTCTTCATCAAATCTGGAATCCTACATATAAACAGACACATATAGTCTGAAACTGGGTGGCTTTTTTGTTTATTTGTTTTATGTATTTGTTTGATCGGATTAAAAAGCTAACAAAGCTTTGTTTCTTGCAAAAGCCTGCTCTTAATTTTATCAACCTGCACTGCAAATATATCCATGACGTTGGTATTAGGTAGACTGGGGAGGACAGGGTAGAGATCACAGTCCCCATTCATCAAGTTATCAATGCTGATATCTCATGCCTATCAGGTCCACCAATGCTATTTTCTAATGCAAAGGACATGTTATTTGAAGGATGATTCCCATTTCACCATTAGACTATCAATATGTCAGCCTCATGATGATGTCGGTTGACTGATAATGCCACAAAAGAAACATTAAGAATATTTTTTTATTTTGATACTTTATATCAAAGTTGTTTTACAGCCAAACATTTTCAAAAGGGCCAAATCTGTTTCTTCAAAATCCAAACATTTGCTTTAAATGGTAATTCTCAAGCTGCAAAGTGTGCAGTAAAAGGCAGAATTGAGCTAGAAATGAACATGACAAGGTGCAATATTCAGCGTGTACACCAGATTTAATTTTGCATAAGAAATGAATTTCTTCAGCTTATTTTTTAATTAGCTTAAGCAAGTGCATTCAGGAGCCAATAACACAGACTTACGGGAACTGAATTACTGAAAGGGTTCTGAGTCTAGCCTCTAAATCACAGGCATTGAGCTGATCTCATAATTAACACTGAGCTGAAGCACTGCATCAAATGCTGCAGAAACTCCTTCGCCAAAGAGTGGATGGGGAACATGGCAATCATTAAACCCAGGCAGTAGCATCTCAGGGACTACAAAGCTTTGTTGAACATAGGGAAGTCAGTTACGTCAACCTGCTAAGCAGTTAATGTCCTGGCAGGCACATCTGTGTTTACTACCATCAGATACTCCCAGCTGTTCACATTGCCTCTGTTTGATGGTCATTCCGGGACCTGCCTGATGTTGAGAAGTATGTTATTAGAGAAGTAAATTCCTTACTGAAGATTGATCAAGGAGGGATGTAAACTCCAGGATGCTGGAGTTGGTCCATAAAGTTTAGGACATAGACATGTACTGGCAATTACAGAAGGTGAATTTATTTAGGACTCTTGATCAGAGCTTTTAGGGATCTATTATTGCTTCAGTTTAAATTATATTTTAAAATCATTCCTGTAGTCAGGTACTTTTAGGGCACCTCAAACAGATATAAACCACTCCCTTCCTGTGGGGACTGGAAGTAGGCCAGTGCATCACTACTATACATATAAGGAAGAAGGGACACTGAGCTGCCAAGAGCATTCTCTTAATCAAACAGCTGGTTGCTGATACCCATCAAGCCAGGTGCTATGGATTTAAAAGAAAAAGTGTGACATATCTATGCTAGGAATCCTCAGTTTGCTACTCCTAGATCCACTCTCAGCCCTTCTCAACCCTGCTCTCAGCTCAGCGAGGCACTCAGGACTCCTGAGCCCTCTGGCTTCCTATTGAACTCTGCCCATGGGGACGCCTGGCAGAAGAGCCAAGGAAGGGAAAAGAGAACTGTCTCTCCTTCTTTGGCCCACCCTCCTCTGTCTAGTGTCTGTGAGGGGCCACTAAGCCTCTCTGCAGGATTTTCCTCCTCAGGCTTTCTTCGAGCTTAGGGTGGTAACAGCCCCTCTATTTATCCCGGGGTGCTGCACCACCCCCTCCAGTCTTCTTTCACCTTGCCTGCCCTTTTCTGTACACTTCCTTTATTTGACCCTCCTTGAACAATCCTAGTTTGCATGTGCCATCCTGTTAGGGCCCTAACTTAAACCATATTTCTGCCTAAAATGAGCTTATATAGGTTGTCTGGTAGGAAAAACTACTGCATCATCAGTATAATAGCAGATCAAGCCCTGGGTTATTTGCAAGTGTGTAGCACACTTGAACACACACAGATCTTGATACTTCACCAGGTGATAAGATCATGAAGTCTATGCCATTTTCTCCTCATTTCCTCTCTTGTACAAGTAGACTTCAAAGATAAAGAAAAAGAAAAAAAATCTGCAAGTCAGCATCACCTCAAGAGCTGGACAGGGTCTCACCCAAACTTTTATCATCTATCTCAGGACCTTTACATCTCATCTCTATTCTTGCCTTCCATGCTTTCAGCCTTTCCCCAGCTTTGCTTTATTTTTCTTTTAATCACAAGTAGCCGACTCACCAAATTTAACTCATAGCAAAACTCAGATATGCAAAGAAAACATAAATACTTCATTTTGTCTTAAACTATTTAAGCTTTCGGCCCTGTCACTATGCACACTCTGCTCACCAACTTCCCAACTCAGCCTAATACAAAGAATACTTTGGCAAGTCCCCTGGACACAGATGTAATCTATGACTTAAATTTTCTAGCCCATCCAGAAACTACACACTCATTTTACAGTTAAGCTCTGAAATATTCAAGCTTAGACCCTCTTACTACTGCTTACATGGTTGGCCATTTTGCTGCACTCAAGCATTGGTTAGAAAAGATGGTTAAAGCAATCTAGCATAAATGCAAAACTACTACACGAAGGGAGAGCCACCGACAGCTCTCCTACTTATGCTTAGCTGTTTTCTACTTATGCAATTATATCTGGTAGCCAATTTACCGGAAAAGATTGAGTTGCAATCATTGGCCAAAATGAAATTTAAAGATGGGCTGAGGAAGGAAGTGCTTCATGGCTATCGTTGTTTTCTCAGTAAAATGTTCATTGTTCTATAGGTAAGACTTGTATCTTTCCTGATGACCCAGCAAAGCCAAATGTCTGAGAATCCTCAGGAAGCTCCCAATGGGTTAAAAAAGAATGCCTGGCTGCTCTGTGCTGCCTTTATTATTGGTTATGGACCACCTCCGTGGAACTACTAAAAGTCTCCACAGGTACAGCAATTTCTTTTTTGGCAACTTTATTGTCAGACAACCTGCCTTCTGGGTATGTTGTTGTCACTGTAGTCAATTGATGTTTCTGACATTGTTCTTGGCAGGCTCAGTTTTCCAGGGCACTGCTGGGAAGAAAACACGAAAAACCTGGCACTGTTTAATGCACTTTGCTGTCTTATGTGTTATATTTCGCAAGAAGAGAGGTGGGAAAATTATACTTTGAAAAAACAGGGTGCCACTGGATAAATATAGGGAGTAATATCAAATCTTGAAAAATCTTTCCTCGCCAGATTTTCCCACATGAGAGAGTCCTGGGGTGTATGGAATTTTAGCAGACAGTTTGAAATTGTTTGCTTTATTTTTCTTTTAATCACATGTAGCCGACTCACCAAATTTAACTCATAGCAAAACTCAGATATGCAAAGAAAACATAAATACTTCATTTTGTCTTAAACTATTTAAGCTTTCGGCCCTGTCACTATGCACACTCTGCTCACCAACTTCCCAACTCCAGCCTAATGTTCAACAGGAAAAAAACTTGCTGAACGTCAAATCCTGTCTAAAGTACAATCTATTCTGATCATTTAAACAGCCCATTTGCACAGAGTTTAGTCTTTGGAGTCAGCATGTTTTGCTCAGAGGTTGTTTCCACCACCACCCCAACCCCCGCCCTTCGCTGACAGGTACAGCCTCTGAGAGCTTCCAGGAGTGAGTGGGAAAGAAGCAGAGCCCTTGTCCCCAAGCAATTTGTCACTTGTGCATCCATGTGCTGCTGGTCCTGAAGGTGTTCACAGCTGAATTCTGTGGCTGGGGTAACTTACCACCTTGACTTAGTTCAGTCGGGGCCTATTACCACTCTCTGGTGGTTTTGATCTTATTTGGGTTTGTGCATTTTCCACAGACTTCTGTAAGGTGTGGCTATGACTTCTATTCAGCCCAGTCTTGGTTATTCCCACAGTTGCCCTTGCCAGAGAGCCATCTTACCCCACACCAGCAATCCCTCTAGCCCCTTCTTCAATCAAACTCTCTCTCTCTGCTACTATATGTTCTGTCTACACAACTTAGAAACCAAGAGAAGCAGCGGAAAACTAAATGTTAAGGACTCCCCCTGCCTGGACTTGGTGCAGCACCGGGTTGATGTGATCTATCCTTGAATGAAATAAGAAAGTGTCCTCCTAGAATCCCAAATACAAATAAAGGGAAGAAATGACTACCTGCAACAGTCCTTTCAAGTTATTTAAAGTTACTCCTCTTCTCCAAAATGACCCCCAGAGAATGAAACTCAGAAGACATGGATATGAACACATATAACTCTCCTTTCTGCCGCCTCTATCACAATATAATTTTAACTGTTTCAGTGACTTTTCCCCAATATACATATGAATAGGAGAATGAATTAGGGAAAGGTAAGGATCACTGATAAAAGATGAAGATCCTGGTCTAGGCACTATTTAGCAAAGGGGTTTGAAGGTAAATCCTGGTCCACAAACAGGTCCAGCTTCACAGGCATGTGACCGATCCAATTGCACAGAGCCTTGCGCTCACAAAGGCCCACGCTTGGTTCTGTTGTCATCATCTTGAAATTCTTAATAATTTCAAACATGGGGCCCCACATTTCCATTTCACAGTGGACCTCACAAACTATATAGCCAGCCTGCCCACACATGAGTATGCACAAAGGTGATGAGATAGAGCTAGGCACTAAATGTCTTCAAACCACATTGCAGGAAGCCCGTTGGATTTAGTTGAAGCATCTCAGAGCCTCTGCAAGATGAGGGGATCAAGCAGATGCTCACCCACATAATTTTATTCATTTTATGCATGATATTTCACATGAGGACTGCATTCTACTGCTAAAAATTAGTTGATACAAACTTATTTTTCTATTTTGGGATACAATATTCCTCACTACCTGGATCCTATAGCAAAAAGTCAACTGCAGTGTAATCAAAAAATATTGAAAACTTTGTCTCAGGGCACCTGGGTTCATTTCCTAATTCTATCACTTATTAACTTTGGGATCTTACACAAGCTAAAACTTCTCCAAGTATCAGCTCATTTATCTGTTAAATTGAAATAATAATAACTTGGGATTATTATTGTTTTAATTGTATACAATAATATATTTGTTTTTACTTCATACTTTAAAGTATAATCCTTTAAAAATAATAATGTATAACCTATATAAATAAAAAGCATTACAATGGTTTATAAAACATTTTGAATAGGTTGTTTTGAAATTTATTTCTTTCAAAAATATAAAATAAATATGAAATTGAGATTAACTATAAGGGAGTCAGAAAAAATGTATATTTGATTCCTCACTTCTTGTTTTTTTGCTGATTATAGGCCTTATATGACAGGTATTATTAATAGCATTGTTTTGTCAAGCCAGTAAAAACAGTGAAGTTAAATGAGCAAGATATAAGTCAAATTTGATTTTCCAAAAAGAGTTTAATTAAATGGCATTTCTTACTATTGATAATAAACATCAATTCTGTTCCCTCATACTCCAGAGTATGTTAAAAGAATTAGAATCCTGGAACCCTTCATCACTGAATACCACACCCAGATATTTCTGAAAAATAGCTACTGCAGAAGAGATCCTCTCAGTGAGTGAACTCTTAATTAATTCTAGAGTCTCTGGACCCTTTGTGGTCTCCTACCTTGCTGGCTAAAGGAACACAGATCCCATTGGCCTCTCTTCCTTGGTTTTTGTCCTTGAGCCATAACCACATAGTAAAGTGAAAATCCTATGCATGGAAAAGTCCTTCCCCCTAGAGCACAGCTTCCCTTGTTTCTTTCCCGTGGATCCCATCTGAGTTGTGAATCTCCCATTTCAGAAACTCTTCCCAAACAAGAGACAATGTTAAGTCCCTTACTTGTAGCTTAGGAGAGAAGGAGGGACAAACTAACATGAAGAAATTTGAAGAAGAAAATGCACATATTCCAAAGAGAAAATAAATCCTGAAGGAAACCAGTCTAAAGAGTACTCTTCCAGCAGGAAGAGCCCTTGACCTCTTTCTTTGCGAGGTGCCCTGGAGTGGGGTGGCCCTGTTGCCCTTGCCCTTGATGCATATATCACAGTTCTCACTGGTTGGGGGTGGAATTAATGCAAATAGAGGGATAAATCCTTCAGTTCTTCATAGAAGTTAGAGTTTATAGTCAGCACATGAAAATTTGATTTAATTTTCAAATGCCATTCTTCTGCCTTTCTCTTGTGTGATGGTTCCCAGGCATGCAACTGGTAGACTTGGGGTCTCATATGGCTTACTTACAAATTGCTATGGTGACTCAGTATTAAAAGATTGCCAGGGGTTGGATATTGGTAGGGAAACTAGAACATTTAAAATAAAAATAAAAGTCTAATATTTGTGAGCTTGTATTACACTTTTTAGACTAAGAGTTGTTACATTAATTATCTTAGTTAAACTTAATGTCAATCTATTATTTAGGTATTTTTATAATAGTAATTGCTATTTTCCAAATTTCCTAATGAAAACACAGGAGCTCAGAAATATTAAACAGCTTGTCCAAAGCTGTATAGTTCATACATGGCAAGGGTCAAGACTCACACCCCGGACTTCTGGAAGTCAGAGCCCATGCTCTTAGCCCTTTCTACCCTGCTGCTCTCAGAGTACAAAAGTAACATGACTACAGGAACCATAAAAAGATAAGCCCACTAGATTTGGCAACCCCGGTGTCAAATTTTTATCTAGGACTAAGGAAGGGCAAATGTATTTTGGCAATATTCTGGTGAATTTGATCTGTGACTAGAGCCAGAGAAAATTAATCAGTCCTACCCAGTGGTCTGATGGTTGCTAATTTCTTACTTTCTTTGATCAGAGTCTCAAAGCCATGTCAGTCAGAGACGGCATTACTCGCTGTGGGAAAGGGGATGATTTTCCTGATTTTCTTCCATCTTCAAAATGGAAAATGCTGCAGCTACAATTTGCATTTATATGCTGGCCCTGCGAATTCACCAGAGGCACCTTTTCCTTGGCTATGATTTTCACAATAAAATCATACCACTGTTATTCAGACCATCAAGAGAGGGTATGTAGCTCAAGCATTAAGCATAAATCATACTCTTTTACACTTTGTTCACTTCTCGTTAGCATTTAAGAGTTTGTCTTTGAAACAGTTAATATGAAAATCTACTATAATTATCTTTTGGTGTCTTTGATTCAAATATGAAATGATAGCTTTAAACTATTATGACCCTCAGAGTGTAATAAACATTTTAAGCTAAAAATACTGGTTCTCTACCAAAACCTCTAACATAGAAAGCCCATCAAATCTTCAAATGAAAATTCCCCATCATATTATAATGCTCTTGAACAAGGAAAATATTGATGTCTTTCACCACTGCATTTCCCAGGCCTAGCAGAGATGATCGCCAAATAGTTTCGGAAGAATGAATACAGAGCTACAACTCCTACTCGCTCTCTTCAGAGCTCCTTCCCTGTATTCTAGGACTGGCATTGTAGGCTCGTGCAGAAGAAATTACCAGTAGTATCTGGTTTTAGTTTACAAACATCTTCTCTTCATTTTTTTATAAAAACGAAATTTTAGTACAATCAAATCACTCTGTCAGACAATATCATTGATCACTGATTAGAGTAAAGAAATTGTTCCAAATTACATGTGGTTTTTATGTGAAAGTAGTTTAAAATCTCTATGGGATTTTGGTTTTTTGGCCTCCACTGGATTCTGACATGCTTCCGACTAACAGCCACTTGCCTTCATACATTGTCTGTTTAGACTCTAGGTACACTGGCTTAATAGAAGGCGGTTTTAGAAAATTTGGGATTGGTAGGATGATGCCAAATAAAATAATTAGATTTTAAATCTGTCAAATTACTTCGTATTTATGACTTTTCTTTGTAAGCCTTTTGTTTCATTTTTTATGAACAGCAAAGTTCATTTAATTTCTTATATTTCATCACCGGGTGCAAATACATAAACACTCCCAATAATTCCTTATCATATAGATACTGATAGGTAGTATATATGGCAGGAAGAAGAAAGAGGTCACAGAGTGTACTTTTTTTTCCTCTTCAGCTCCTCTCATAGGTCTGTCCTGATTTTTTTTAAGCCCATTTTCAACGCTGCTTTCAGCTTTATGTAATTCTAATGGTTCTTTCTTTACTCAAACTCCACATTACACATTGTTAATGCCGAATAAATGTTTTGCCATTCTTGTCACCGGGGCTTTCTTACTGGGTTTGTGTGCATTAGTAAGTCCGATGGTAAAATCTCATTTCTCTGAATAGCTTTACAATTTCGTGCACCTACCATAAAAACAAGCAAATTGACACCCTGCCAGGAGTAGCCAGAGGAGACCTTAGAAGAGAGTTCATAATGACATTGTTGCCATATTGCATGCCTGTAAATAATTCATTAAATCAACCACCCTTTTGTTTTAAGCAAACACAAGCAGATGCCTTTTTAAACTGGATGCAGACAACAGTCTTCAGAAAAACATTATTGTAATATGACACTTAAAAAGAATAACATATTTGCTTTATTGATTTTTGCAGTAGTAATACACAGTGATTACTTCTGTTATGCATTTTATCTTACTCATGGGCTTTGTCCTCTGCTCTTATTATTTTATACTTGTGTGAATATGTGTGAAATTTTATTAAGAGCAAGAGTGTGGAAAGGTAATGAGATCAATTCATTATCAATCAAGTAAATCCAGGTGATTTTCCTGATCAACGCTCTTTGCAGGTCTGTGATATTAGCACCCCATTCACAACCCTACTGACTTATTGACTAAAAATAATGTATATAACTAAATTATTAGGAGAAATGGAAAAATTTCCCAAAGACTAGAATCTCTATCATATTTCAAAGATCGATGAGTTATTATCTTTTAGATAAACCAGTATGTATATAAGAGTCAAATAAAGTTTAGGGCCAAAAATCATTATGTTTATATTTTCTAAAAGGTAAGCTTTGTCCGCACTGATAGGACATTTTACTTCATGAATTCATGCATTTATTAATATTCCATATTGTTCCAGGAAATATGTTGTCTGATTTACTCCTTAAATGGTCATTTAAAAAATATCTGTGTCCAATAAGCTGACTCATGTTGACTGCTGCAGTAGTTCACAATCTTTGCTGTACATTAGAATCACATGTGGGAGATTTTACAAAATATATATATCTGCTCCCAGGGTCTAAATTTAACTGGTTTGAATGGAACCCAGGCAATACATTCTGTAAAAGTTCCCCATATATTTCTTATGTGCAGCCAGGTTGAGATTACTGCAAATGTCTATTGACTAGATATTCTCACTTATTTGGGGATAGTCATTGTAACTGGAGAACTTTGAATATATTTGAACCTACTTAGTAGCACACAGTGGGTTATAATTGTTATTCCCATAAAGATATATATACTATTACAGAATGCCATAACTGGAAACAAAATTGGCTATATGGCTTTCCCATTGTATAGACGAACAGAAATCCCAGATCAGAATTCTAATTATGGTAAGTCCAAAGTAGAATCCACATACCTCAGAATTCTGCTCTGAGAATTCTGCTATACTTAATTAGACTTATAATTTGGATTGGCCAAAGGAGAGATATCTATCTATCTGTCTGTCTGTCTATCTATCCATCTATCTATCTATCTATCATCTATTTTAAACTCTTGGGTGCAATCCAAGCAGGTTAAGAGGTGTAGAGAAAAAGAAGCAATCAAGGGTCGCTAGAGAAACAAGAACTAAATCTAGAATGTCTGAGAACACAGAGAAGAAATATTGAGGAGGGTGAAGAACCAAGGGTCAGCTCCCAAAGTAGATTCTGAGCAATATGGTAGCAGAAACCCAAGATAGAGTCTAGAAAACAAGAAATCAGAGTTTAGACAAAAAGTTTAAGAACAGGCACAAAATTAGTAGAAACTGTGTTTTGCTCTTAGAATTAATGAATTGCATGCCTTCTATGTAAGCTCAGATGAGATTCAGAATGTGGGTTGGTTTGGGCTGTAGGCAGAGGTAAGGTAATATGTCTGGCTAGAGTTAGACAGAGACAGGGTGGAGGAAGCTGTTGTTGATAGTCAACACAGCTCAACAGGAACTTCTCTACCTAATACAATCTTTGCAGGAGACCCTAGTAAAGGAAAACCCTAACCAGATGTTCTGATTATCACCATTAGTGAAGAGATTGGAATATTAGTACAGGGTTTATTGGTTCCTCCATGGTGGTTAAAATTAGTGCCAGATGGCTCACCTGACCCATACCCTGTTTTCTGTTCTCATCTATTTAAAAAAAAATAATAATAAAAACAAAAATTTTAAAGGATCTGCTATTACTGTCACTTCAAATGCTGATATAATATTCATTTCAGTAAGATTAGTAATAATTTGTATCATTCTATAGATCTCATGCATTGTGCATGCACTTCCCTTTCTTGATATTAATCTAATGAAACAACTTTATCTCTTTTTGCTTGTAATAGCTTATAGCGTCCATTTTTCTTCCTGAAAAATAGAAGTGTTAGAAGTGAAATATTGTAGGTGAATTGATAGAGACAAAATAGAAAGATAACTACATTTATTTTTTAAATACATGGAATAAATATGTAATCTCTCTAGACATTTCATAATTTAAAAATTATTCCATATTTTAGAAGACTCATTCTATGACATTTATGCAGGATTTTCAATTGTGTGATCATATAGTCATAGGTTTCCAGAAAAAAGAATTTAGATGACATTTTAATAACCTTTGGCATAAAACTGCATAAATTAGGAGAAACCCTTCTGTTTACTCCTACCCAACTACCCCCTTGCAACTTATAATTACACATAAGTAGTTGTTTCTAATTTCTTTGAAGAATTTGATTCAATAATATGGTCATCATCCTTGTATAGTCTTACAGAAGTCAAAGTTTCAAATATTCAGGTGGCCCATTTGAAACGGTCTATCTAAACCAGCAAACTTTGTTACAATACTTTCAGTTATTTAAATAAATATTTAAGAATTTCACAATTTATTTTAGCCCTGGGCATTAGAAACAGACTAATCTTGATAGAGTTCGAAATTGTGTCACTTATATGAGAGCTATACTTTTGTTTTGTTTTGTTTTTTGAGAGCAAGAAGAACAAGCACTGAAATCTCTTTCAGAAAGATTTACAGCATTAATAACTCCAGGCTATTTTAAGTCACAGTCAATCTTTATGGAAGAAGTACAGAGATTATACAACAATTCTTTTATTTTTTTTTCCTCCTAGAATTGCAAACTGATATTTCACATAGAAGTTATTTGACGAAAACAGTGCATTCACACTTCAAGAATATGCCTAAGGTCATTACTTCTTCTTTTTTTATTCTTTCCATCTGTGCTCAAATGCTTGATGAAAAAAAAAAAAAGTGCTACACTGAATTTATCAAGCCCAAGCAGGGCCTGAAATGGAAACTTATTTGGTAGTCTGAAGTACACAGTTGTCTACATAAACCCAATGGACTGTCAGTTTTGTGGGGAGAGACTGGGAACCTGAAATAAGATGCAGGATCTAAAGATCTATATAGAAATGTCCACAGCAACATTATCCATAATAGCCAAAAATTGGAAACAGTGCTGGTGTTCATAAATAGAATGAATAAACAAATTTTGGTATAATCATAACAGAATCTCCCTCTGCAATAAAAAATATCAAACTACTGATACACCAAACAACATGCCAACTGAAAGACGACTTATGCAAGAGCAGAATTAGAATTAATGAATTGCATGTTTTCTATGTAAACTCAGATAAGTTTCAGAATGCAGGTTGACTTGGGCAGTAGGCAGAGTTAAGGTAATACATATAATTCCATTCAAAGGGTGTATAATTCCATTCAAAGGATGCTCTAAAGAAAACTAATCTTTGGTGGGAACAAAAATAAGAACAATGATTGCTTCTGAGGGGCAGAAAGTAGGTACTGACTGGGAAGGGGTGTAGGGAACTTTCTGGAGTGATGGTAATATTTAATATTGTGATAGTTCTGGTAACACTGATGCATACATTTTTCAAAACACAGAATTCACATTTAAGATATGTGTCTTTTATTGATCATCAATTTTAATCATAAGAATAAAACTGTAAAGAAATGTTGAATTCTAGCTAATACACCTAATGGAGAATTGGGGGAAATGTACTGAAGTCTGCAACGTACTTTGAAATGCATCAAGAAATAAGATGGATTGATTGATACCTAGGAGGATGGACAGACAAATGAATAGAGAATAAAGCAATACAGTAAAATGTTAATGGTAGAATCTAGGTGATGAGTATACAGATGTTCACTACAATACTATTTTAACTTCGCGGCATGTTTGAAATTTTTCATAATCAAAATTTTTTAAAATAGGAGAGAAGGGTCAACCTTGAAAGAAAGATATCTATAATCTAATGGTGATTTTGTCAAGAAATCTTAGTCTGCTGATGTGCCATTTTATATATTTAAATATATGAAGACATCACAAAACAGCATTCAAGTCTCAATATTCATCTGAGGAATACTGAGTTTCTTATCGTGTATATCTTCATTGTGAGCCTTACTGAGCTAAATAAAATTCCAGAAAGTCATTTTTCTATACAATACAAACATATCCTTTGATTTTTATTTTTTATTTTAAAGTACACCCTACTAACTGATGATGTTATTTTTTTAAATTAGAAACCAAAAAGAAATGAAAACATTCTTAGTTCTAGAAATCACCTAATGGTTACTAATATGCTTATTGTTTGGCTTTTAGCTAAAAATGGTGTTTGACTTTCTGGGGGGGAAAAACAAACAACAACTTTTTAGTTACTCTTGGAAACAGTCATCCAGAACTCTCACAGGTTCTTTCCATGTCAAAAACTGTGGTCATGGAGATCCTCAACAATAAGTGAAAAATACTTAGGCTGATTTATCTAGAGTCTGGTTTGTCTCAACATGATTCCTTCAAACATCTCATTACTAAGTTGCTATTTAGTTTTCTGCAGGTTGTTGCCATCTGCAATTTTCCTTGCTTTTAGAAAATGAAGGACAGTATGTGGGTTTTGGGATAATGGACAGCAGAGTCACATATTTGCAAAGTTTGTGACAAGAATGACAACTCTCTCAAGACATTGTTCATTGTGAGTCGAATTCAACATAAACTGCTCATTCTAAATGTTTCTTTTGATCTAGATTTCTCTGTTGCTGAACACAGGATCTTTCCGTATTGTTTTATAGGATATAAAATGTTTGCACAATGTTGTCTCAGACCTTAAAGCCTCCTTGGCTGTTCCATAGCTGAAACTCTGCCCTGCAAGTCAAGGATGGAGCAATTTTAGCAGCAACTGGAATCTGTGCCCTCAGTTTGTGCTGGCTTGTTGTTGATGTAAATAATGTGCAGTAGTTTTGCCATGGCTTCGTGATACTAAGTTAGCTACACACTCATCGAGAGCTCAGAAATTGGATGTAAATCTACTGATAATCATATCAATTTATGCCATTTCATTTTTTTTCTGTCCATTACCATCCAGGCAATTTGGTGGTGGACAACTAATCTGTTATCTTTTTCTTTCTTTCACTTAATGTGAAAGAATTCACTTAATGAGAACAAGAATTGATTTCATGTTTGCTATCCCTTCATCCCCTTTCCCCAGGTTTTCTGTGCCAGAGATATAGAGCTGACTGAATCAAGAAAAAGTCTCATCAAGCAGAAGAAATAGCAACTAATGTGTTATTTATGTGATACAGTGTTTTTTGCATTTTGTGTTTTTTATTTTTCATTTTTATGAAAAAACAGTTGGAATGCCAAAGATGGAGAGTCTCAACACATGCTCCATTTAATCTCTGATTGTTAAAAGTCAGACTGTTAAAAAAAAAAAGTGCTGTTTTTAGTAGGAAAATCCAGAGCTTCTACACACATTAGCTGAAATAGTATTCAGTCTCTACAAATACCTTGTAATGGATCCAAGAAGGAGAAAAAATTTCTTTTTATCTGTCATTTTCACTAATGCATTGAACCTAGAATATATGAGTTACATGTGCTCCTTTATCTTATTCTGTCCTTCACTTTTCTTGTTTCCTTGTTTATAAATACAAGTTTCTACACTGTAAAAAAATGCATGGTTGTTCTGATTTATTTCACACCAAGTTTATGTCTACTCTTGCCATTTTCATGTGCATTCACAGAAATCTTCTATTCAATTAGCCATCTGGAGTAAAGAGTCTTTCTTTTCTGTAATATTTGGTATATTAGGGACCTCAGTTTTCTCTGTTTTATCATAATCTGAATTCTCTTTGTCCATAGCATATGTTACCTATTTTTGTAAATTTTATACTCCTATAAAAATATTTTTTCTCTAACATGACATTTTAAAACTAGAAGAGGCCTTTGAGGCACCTAGACCAAAACCCAAAATTCTTTTTTCTCATTACAAAGAAAGAGTAATAGAGCCATGAAGTCATACCTGAAACCCACATATCCTGACTTCCCATCTAGCTCTTTTTGTAGGCCTGTGTATAATCTCAAACTATTCTTATTCCTCAACTTCTGGCTTTAGTCCATAGGTAAGGCAACTATTAATTTCCTGTAGGTAAAAGGGTTATGTACACTTGAATTTTGAACAATTTCCTTGCAATTAATTTTTCTCCTGGAGTCCAAGAATATAGCTTGGGAGCTAAACTTTTTAAAGTTATTTGAATGGCACTGTCTCATTCTGTCTCTCTTTCTCTGCTCTTTCTGTCCCTTCCCCCTTTCTTTGCTCCCTTGCCTCCTCTCATCTCTCTCTACTCCCCTTTTGTCTTTCCCTGTCCCCACTTCCCCCACCCCTCTTTCCAAAACCTTCTAAAATTTGATCGCAAAAGTTAGTGCAACAAGTTTTGTTCCTGTTTTAGTTCACAGCTGATTGTAATGAGCCATTATACTTACGACTTTTGAATTGTATTGCTTCTTCATTTGTGTAAAAACCCTACTAAGCAGCAGTTTGTACACTGGTGACAGCAACAGAATCATGTGTTATTTTCTGAAAGATGTGGTGAGATGGAAGTACTGGAAGTATGCTACCACTCTGGCATGACACATTCAGTTTTCCCTTGCTAATTCATATATTTTTTCAATAAGGTGTTATTAGCCAATCTTGAGGAGCTGAGACAAAAGATGATGTGATTCAGGATCTAGTGAAATGCCAAACTATGCATCTTTCAGAGTTTTGCAGATAGAACATCGTCCATTCATTAACTATTCAAGGAACTACTCTGTGCCAGGTACTGTACTAGACATTAATGATACAAAGGTGGATGAGGCACAGATTCTGCTTTGAGGAACTCATGCTTCTTTAGGACGAT